>NW_025791763.1:0-284971 GCF_000001405.40 Homo sapiens | reverse complement strand
ATCCCAGATCATCCTGTTACTCTAATCCTTCTGCTTTTTTTTTTTGCCTTTCCAACTAATGCTCATTAAACACAACTTTCATTTCTTCATGTTCCAGATGCAAGGATGGAGGCCAAAACACCTCACAGCTGACCAAGCTCCCTGGTAAAGGAGCTCATGATGGCTAAGCATTTATTTCCCACTGTAATGCAATCAACACACCTGCTGCAGATCCCTCTCCTCACTTCCATCCCTTTGTTCATGTAGTTTTCCTCCAGAATACACCTCCACTCTCTTCTCTGATCAAGGTCAGTTCCACCTACTCAAGGCAACCTACCTTACTAGCTGGGGCTACAATGCTGTCTCACACCTCTAAGTCCAGTAACCCTTGTATGCAGCAAAAGTTCCTCTGCAAAAGGCCTGCATAAGGACCTTCTCTTATATTTCTTTTTTCATTTTTTTTTTTTTTTTTTTTGGAGACAGAGTCTCACTTGGTCACCCAGGCTGGAGTGCAATGGTGTGATCCCAGCTCACTGCAACCTCCGCCTCCTGGGTTCAAGCGATTCTCTTGCCTCAGCTTCCTGAGTAGCTGGGATTACAGGCATGCACCACCATGCCCAGATAATTTTGTATTTTTAGTAAAGACAGGGTTTCATCATGTTAGCCAGGCTGGTCTCCAACTCCCGACCTCAAGTGATCTGCCCACCTCAGCCTCCCAAAGTGTTGGGATTACAGGCGTGAGCCACTGCCTCCAGGCTCTTATATTTCTTTTATATGTTTCACAACCATTGGCACAGTACTAAGCACAAAATATATTTCTCAAATTTTTGTTGAAATTTTATCTCTAAAATATTTGGTGATTCATTGTGCTGAACAACTTCCTGCAGGCATCTGTGTACCTGAGATTCATTTCATCCTTCCTTTCCTTCTCCAATTCAGTCCCCTCCAGTGTCCAAAGACTTCCCTCTTTGGAACAGTTCGCATATTACTACAGTGAAGAAAATCTTTCTGGAGACCCAAAGCAAAGGCTTTGTCCCAGTCTGGCCACTGAATCCCACAGCCTCCATTTAAGACCATTTTTGGGTGGGCAAAGTAGTGTGAAAGGTAAGGCATGTAGGGTTAGCTGCCCGGCTCATACAAAGACATATCACATTGAACTGAGTCCTGAGGATGATCAGGCCAAAGCAAGCGTTTCACAGGGAAGAGGCTAGTAAGGTAATGATCCAAATCAATGAAATACAGATTTCTTGGGTGATTCCTCAATGAAATTCTCCCCACTACCCAAGCAAAAAGAAAACAAAAATCTCATAACTCACTTACAAAACAAGCTATTAGGAAAAGCAATTGACCCTGAGGTGAATAGAAGCTCCTTCTTACAGAACAAAGAGAACTATAATGAGGGTTTCTAAATTTTTCCAAATATTCTCTTAATATATTCTTACTATACTTAATGATATATCTCAAACCAACACCACCTTTCCCAAATAAGAGTGCATGCTTACCTGTCCATCTCTTAATTCTTCTTTACTATGGAAAGAGCAAGATTTTTCATTCATGACTCAAAATCATTTGTTCATGTGAGCTTTGTCCTTGGGCCCAGAAAGCATTTTAGTAAGGTCTGAGATCAGAAGCTATGTGGAGAGCCAGAGATCCAGTTGCTCTACCTTTGCCTTCCTTGGCAGTCACTCAGACTAAGAGTAAGAAAACAGTCCCTTTGTGCCATCCGAGGGTGTAGGAGGTTTCTGTGAGTGCTGAGAGAAGTCCTCTGAGGTCTTCGAAGCCTCAGCTCTGCACAAAAGAAAAAAAAGAAATTGAAAAAGAAAACTGGTTTCACCATTCAGTTATGCCTCTGTTGACAATTTTTTTTTTTTTTTGAGTTGGAGTCTTGCCCTGTTGCCCAGGCTGGAGTGCAGCCGTGCGATCTCGGCTCACTGCAACCTCCGCCTCCCGGGTTCAAGCGATTCTCCTGTCCCAGTCTCCCGAGTAGCTGGAATTACAGGCGTGCGCCACCACACCCTGCTAATTTTTGTATTTTTAGTAGAGATGGGGTTTCACTATGTTGGTTAGGCTGGTCTTGAACTCCTGACCTCGTGATCCGCCTGCCTCGGCCTTCCAAAGTGCTGGGATTACAGGCATGAGCCAACACGCTCGGCCTGTTGACAAAATTTAAGCAGCTGTGAATTTATTCTGAATGAACAACTTGCCTCAGCCAAATGCTTACCTCTTACTACCCAAGCCACAGGATGGCCAAAAGGGGACCACACAGGGGACTGTGAGCTGGATTCTGTGTCCAAAAGGCAGCAGCACCACTAGAAGGGATGGGGTCTGTTTCTGACAATGGAGTTACTGGGACCTGGGCCAGCTTATCAAAGGCGTGAGGCTAAAGGTGTCACCTTGGTGGGTGGTCTTAGCTGAAGTGCTCAGGCTTTGTTTAGGCCTCACACACAGGCTGGGTCAGGGGCTTATAATACTAGACCTGGTTCCAACAATGGTAGAAATTCAAAATGCAACACGATGTTCTAACCTTTCTCAGTTATCAGCAATACTGTGCATGTGGCAGCTGGCTAGCCAGTTTGGGCAATTCTAAGTCTTTCATCTGACATTGCTTCCCTCAGGAAAAGGGCTGGACAAGGCTCATACCTCATCACAGGGGAATTGGACATCCGGAATGTCTGTCACATCAAAAATTGCATCCTAAGTGGGCAGATGGCCCACACACAACTGACAATCATAGTTCACAACTTTGGGTGACTAAGGAAGGAGGGTAGCCTCTCTATGAGGTCAGCCCTCCAGGATGCCATAAAAACTGGCTGCTGGTGTCAGGATGCTTTGATTATTAACACTGAGAGGAAGAATACCTCCTGGCTCTTGGGCTTGACATGTGGCTCACTGTAATCCGGGGGACAGGGCAATGCCCCCTTAGTCCTGGCACCCCAGGAACTAAACTGCTCTCACTGTGGCCTCTGGGGCCTCAACATCTGCCTCCCCTTTCCTTTTCCTCCATCATGGCCTCCATGACAGCCTATGACAAAACACACATTGGCCAGCCTTGGCAAGGTGACAGGCGGGTATGGTAATAGCAATCTCAGGAGGGCTCTTCTGTTGCTGTGTAGAAAATGAACCAAGTAGCATAGAATCGTGACCAGCTTTCCACACCTGGCTGGAGCACTCCTGGGGCCTTCAGTAGGGACAGTTACTATCTGTAGCAGAGAAGAAAAGAGCAACAATTCCATTAAACAAGGAAGTACTCAAAGGCAAATTCCTGATAGTTGGACCTAAGGAAACGGCCTTCCTGTAAAAATGGATCCTTCTCCAATCAAGTATTCATTATGCACCCTCTTTAGGCAAGGAGGGGGTATGATTCTTCAACTGCTTGCTGGAGGTTAGATTCTCTGCATAGGAATTTAAATTAGATGGGCCCTTAGCTGATCCTTTCACCATGCTTGTCCATGGGCGGCTCCCCGTCCCCCAGGTTCCCCACGGATGGGGTGTCATTAGGGACCCGCCATAGAGGACTCCGTCCCAGGCGGGCCCCCAGGACAAAACTATGGGCCACTTTGAGGGGCACAGAGACAGACGCTCACCGGTTGTGATGCGCAGGTAACAGAGAGCTCAATTCATCATGACAACCAGTCAGACAGGGGCTGTGAGCAGCCTTTGGACAGAACTTTCGCATAGCCTGGAGGCGTAAGACGAGGAAAGCAATTTAACACCTCAAGGCAGCGAGTCCAGGGCAGAGCCAGGACCAGAACTCAGGACTCCTGTCTCCCAGTCGGGATTCTCTTTCAGTCTTACAACTCTCGGCCTTGTCTCGCCCCATAGTGATAATTTCCACCGGATCACATTCTCCCTCCCTCCTCAGGCCGGCTGCTAGCTCCGCACAGGCACCAACCACTCCCCTTGGCAAGTGTTAACGCGTTCTCACCGTTAAAAGAGCTTTCCAAACTTGGGGGTCCCGCCGCCTCGGCTAGGCCTCATCTGCTCATGCGCACAGCCGCTTCCGTGCCGGCTCCCCTGGCCCCGAGAACTACATTTCCCAGTAGGCAATGGAAACCCAAAAGAAGTACGGAGAGCCGGGAGGGTCAATCATCACCTGAGAGTTGGCTCTTCGCTGGCTGGCTGGTTAATCAGTGCTCAAAGCTGCCTCCGCCTCCTGACTGGAGAGCGAACTAGCCCGGGCGGAGCCACAGTCCTAGAGGCTGAGCGCAGTCGGAGCTGTCCCATTTACCCGACCCGACGCCGGCGTGATGTGGCTTCCGCTGGTGCTGCTCCTGGCTGTGCTGCTGCTGGCCGTCCTCTGCAAAGTTTACTTGGGACTATTCTCTGGCAGCTCCCCGAATCCTTTCTCCGAAGATGTCAAACGGCCCCCAGCGCCCCTGGTAACTGACAAGGAGGCCAGGAAGAAGGTTCTCAAACAAGGTAGCAGGAGGGACCCTGGGGTCCGGGGCTGCACTCGAGGCTTTCTCACAGATTTGGGTTCTCATTTTGCCAAGGCAGCCGCTACCAGACGTGGGCCTTAGTTTCCCCATATGTAAAGTACTAGGAGGGCTTCCTTGCACGTGGAGGAGCCCCGCTTTAGTGTGCAACACTGTCGATAGCCTTTGCCCTAGTAGGCCCCGGGAATAGTAGTCCCAAGGGTGTGGTCATTGTCCTTGGTTTGCAAGGTGTTGGCACCCGCCCTGCCACTTGTAATCCCCGTGGCTCGTGGAACTGATAATCCCCGTGACTCATTCCTCCACTTGGTTCCAGGACCTTAACTTTTTCACCTACCCTCCCATGCGAGCTCAGGGGTGTGGGGGAGCAGCACAGAAATGCGTAGGAAATTGCGTTTTGCCCGTCCGGTGATTTAACAGGCTTTGCATGGTCCCAAATCGTAAGGATTGAACCCTAGTTCTGAAACATTGGCAGAGGTTCAACAAGGCGCCTCAGGCTCAGAGCCTGCTCTCCACTCTCATCTTTAAAACATATTTTGTGGTTGCTTCTAGAGTTTAAAGAGTTCTGCTGCTTTAAAAAATAATGGATCACCTGTTTGATCTACGGAGTCCCTCTCACTTGTAAATTTTAGAATTCTCCGTGTCATATCTTGCTACACAATCGGAGACAGTACTGTTCTAAGTGGAAGGACTAATCATCTGGACTTCTGAGAACTGAGTTTTAGCTTGGACTCTGTCACTAATTTGCTGCATAACCATTAGCACCTACCTGGGCTGGTCTAAAAATGAGATGACTAGCTTAACTGCTTTTCAAACCGGATTGTGATCTATTAGTGGGCTATGAAATCAATTTAGTGAGTTGCAACTGGCATTATTTATTTATTTATTGAAACAGAGTCTCGCTCTATTGTCCATGCTAGAGTGCAGTGGCGCGATCTCCGCTCACCGCAACTTCCGCCTCCTGGGTTCAAGTGATTATCCTGCCTCAGCCTCCCGAGTAGTGGGCATGCCCAGCTAATTTTTGTATTTTTAGTAGAGACAGGGTTTCACCATGTTGTCAAGGCTCTCGAACTCCTGGCCTCAAGCGATCCGCCCACCTCGGCCTCCCAAAGTGTTGGGATTACAGGCGTGAGCCATCACGCCTGGCCACAACTAGTATTTTAGAATGCAGTAGAATAGAAAATATCAGAGTGCATTATACATAGTTCCACTAAGTATTGCATTGTGACACTTGTTTCATGTATTTATCTTATATACTTACATGTGAAATTTTTTTTTACTATTGATCTCTCTAAAAACATTAAAAAAATAAGCAGTTTGCCAAGTTCTCTTGTATCTTGAAACATCCCAGATCTCAGTTCTTTGCCAGTGATTGTTAAAGAACAGATCTTGTGTCGGAAGTACCCATATAGCACCACTTGCTATCCAGTTTTGTCTTCTGAGAAGGTGCTGCCTCCCTCAGCACTGCCCCCAGACCTTCCCTATGGGAGGGGCTGGTGCTGTGATTTCTCAGAGCTGCAGCCTCTGAGCAGTTCTGTCCTGCCCAAGCCTTTTCATCAGGACCTGGAAGAGCCACCATAAGACCCAGCTATTCCACTATTGCTTGCAGACCCTGCATCTTCCAAAGAAACCCGGCTTGTGGGCTGGTGTGTTGGCTCATGCCTGTAATCCCAGCAATTTGGGAGGCCGAGGTGGGTGGATCACTTGAGGCCAGGAGTTCAAGATCAGCCTGGGCAACATAGCAAGACTTTGGCTCTATAAAACATAAAATAGGCGGGGCGCGGTGGCTCATGCATGTAATCCCAGCACTTTGGGAGGCCGAGGCAGGCGGATCACGAGGTCAGGAGATCGAGACCATCCTGGCTAACATGGTGAAACCCCATCTCTACTAAAAAATATTAAAAAAAAAAATTAGCCGGGCGTGGTGGTGGGCACCTGTAGTCCCAGCTACTCGGGAGGCTGAAGCAGGAGAATGATGTGAACCCAGGAGGCGGAGCTTGCAGTAAGCGGAGATTGCGCCACTGCACTCCAGCCTGGGTGACAGAGTGAGACTCCGTCTTAAAAAATAATTAAACACATAAAAATAAAAATAAAAATAAAATGGCCCGGCATGGTGGCATGCACCTGTAGTCCCAGCTACTCGGGAACCAGAGGCAGGAGGATTGCTTGAGGCCAGGAGTTCAAGGCTGCAGTGAGCTGTGATCACATCACTGCACTTCATCCTGGGCCATAGTGAGACCTTGTCTCAAAAAACAAATAAGCAAAACCCCAAATCTGCCTGGCTGGTTCTGAGTATTCCCAGGTAAAATGTTTGAAACATGTTAGTCAAGAGTTCTGTGCCAAACCACTCTAGAGGTTTCTTGCACTGTACAAGCTAGAGAAGTCTTCTTTGGTTTCCCTATCTTTGCTATTTCCCTGCCCCTGCCTGAGAAACCCACCCTTTGGCCCTTCTGCTGTAGCTTTTTCAGCCAACCAAGTGCCGGAGAAGCTGGATGTGGTGGTAATTGGCAGTGGCTTTGGGGGCCTGGCTGCAGCTGCAATTCTAGCTAAAGCTGGCAAGCGAGTCCTGGTGCTGGAACAACATACCAAGGCAGGGGGCTGCTGTCATACCTTTGGAAAGAATGGCCTTGAATTTGACACAGGTAAGGCTTGTGTGGAAAAGGGTTGGGAGCATGGCTGTATGTTGAAGAGGCTTGGAGCAGCCCTTGTGGGGTGATACTGAGCATTTCTGTTGTTTTGGAAGTGCCATCTTCTCTCTGGGTACTTTTTTTCTTTGTTTGTTTCAGACAGAGTCTCACTTCATCACCCAGGCTGGAGCGCAGTGGTGTGATCCCAGCTTACTGTAACCTCTGCCTCCTGAGTTCGTGATTCTCATGCCTCAGTCTCCCGAGTGGCTGGGATTACACTCAGTAATCCCACCAAGTGGGCCACCACACCCCGCTAATTTTTTTGTATTTTAGTAGAGATGGGGTTTCTCCATGTTGTCCAGGCTGGTCTCGAACTCCTGACCTCAAGTGATCCACCTCCCTCTGCCTCCCAAAGTGTTGGGATTATGGGTGTGAGCCACCGTGCCCAGCCTCTGGGCAGTTTTCTTATGTGACAGCATAGCTACTGGGAGTTGAATCGGGCAGCGATCTGGCGGTTTCTGCTGTGACACCTCCCTACAGACAGAGTGAGCAGCTCACTCTGGGCGTGAACTTGGCCAGGCCAGATAAACTCTTCCACCTCACTTCCTCAGCCACCTTTCCAGGGCTCAATCCCCATATCCCTTTACTACCTTGTTTTTCCATCTCCCAACAGGAATCCATTACATTGGGCGTATGGAAGAGGGCAGCATTGGCCGTTTTATCTTGGACCAGATCACTGAAGGGCAGCTGGACTGGGCTCCCCTGTCCTCTCCTTTTGACATCATGGTACTGGAAGGGCCCAATGGCCGAAAGGAGTACCCCATGTACAGTGGAGAGAAAGCCTACATTCAGGGCCTCAAGGAGAAGTTTCCACAGGAGGAAGCTATCATTGACAAGTATATAAAGCTGGTTAAGGTAACATGGACATGCTGAGGACCCAGAGTTTGTTCTCGATAAGGCTGGGTTTCTTTATTATTAGTGGAGGCACTGGGGGTGGAGAGTGCAGTGCGGGAGGCAGGAAGGGAGGAAGAGTCACATCTGTTCTTAGCTCAGCCTCCACCCAAGTCCATCCAGTTCTCTGTCTCTCTCTCTCTGGAGCCTTGGCTCCACGGCTGCTGCTGTCACCCTGGCCTCTGGGGATGCCCTGCTCTCCTCCCTGACTAGGCTGGCTTCCATGACATCAGATCACTACTCCTTTTTACTGCATCCGAGACCAGATTGGGATTTTTGAAAAGGAATTTGAGCAGGAAAATTAAAAGCAAAAAAAGGACTCATCCGAGTGTAGGATGGGAAAAATTCACAGAGTATAGATTTTTTAAAAATATTCAAATTCAGCAAAGTTCAGTCAGGGGTAAGTGTTGCTGGATTCTTGGGCTGGTCCAGGCTATGGGGATAGCAGTTCTGTCAAAGCGGTTCTAGAGGTGAGGCCTGCTGTCCTCATTCACTCCCCCAGGTGGTATCCAGTGGAGCCCCTCATGCCATCCTGTTGAAATTCCTCCCATTGCCCGTGGTTCAGCTCCTCGACAGGTGTGGGCTGCTGACTCGTTTCTCTCCATTCCTTCAAGCATCCACCCAGAGCCTGGCTGAGGTCCTGCAGCAGCTGGGGGCCTCCTCTGAGCTCCAGGCAGTACTCAGCTACATCTTCCCCACTTACGGTGGGTACTGGGCCTGGGCTCTGGGCAGCTTCTGGAGGAGGAACGGCTGCCCTCTCATCTCTCAATCTTTCTTCTCGACCCTGCCTGGCTGACTGATATGGAGCAGTGTAAACCCCAGGCCCTCTGGAGCTTGTGGATGAGAAGTCTGGCCACCTGCTGGACTCCTTGGTCAAAATTCTGTTCATCCATGCCTTGGATGATTTTTCAATTCAAGCAACACTATCCTCCTTGGTCTTGGCAGCATGGCAGTTTGCAGGGGGGGTATTCCTACTGGCGCCAAGATCTCTAAGGTACCCCATGTCTAGATGGAAAGGCTCCTCTGGCTGCCTTGGACCCTGAGGAACATGTGGTTCCTCGGATAGACTGGGCTGTGTGTTATCTCACAGAATTCCACGTTCCTTTCTGAATGGTGCTGGTGCCTTCTCTTGCCAGCTCACCACCCTTCCTTGCTTCTGCAGGTGTCACCCCCAACCACAGTGCCTTTTCCATGCACGCCCTGCTGGTCAACCACTACATGAAAGGAGGCTTTTATCCCCGAGGGGGTTCCAGTGAAATTGCCTTCCACACCATCCCTGTGATTCAGCGGGCTGGGGGCGCTGTCCTCACAAAGGCCACTGTGCAGAGTGTGTTGCTGGACTCAGCTGGGAAAGCCTGTGGTGAGAGCCCTGCCCCGCCCTGCCCTTCTGGGTCCCTGGGTTGGTGTGGGCGACCTGGGGTCTCCCTGAGACCAGAAGGAGTAGGAGAACTGACCTCCTCATGGAGGCTAAAGGTGAGAATCTGCCCCAGAGCAGGGTCCAGGGATAGTGATTAGTCCAGAAATAAAAAGGAAGCAGGAAAGATAAAGGATTGGCCGGGCATAGTGGTCCAAGCCTGTAACCCCAGCACTTTGGGAGGCTGAGATGGGAGGATCACTTGAGCTCAGGAATTTGAGATCAGCCTGGGCAACATGGTTAAACCCTGTCTCTTTAAAAAAAAAAAAACAAAAATATGGCCGGGCATGGTGGCTCACGTCTGTAATCCCAGCACTTTGGGAGGCCGAGGCGGGCAGCTCACAAGGTCAGGAGTTCGAGACCAGCCTGGCCAATACGGTGAAACCCCGTCTCTACTAAAAATACAAAAATTAGCTGGGCATGGTGGCACGCACCTATAGTCCCAGCTACTTGGGAGGCTGAGGCGGAAGAATTGCTTGAACCCAGGAGGTAGAGGTTGCAGTGAGCTGAGATCACGCCACCGCACTCCGGCCTGGGCGACAGAGCGAGACGCCATCTCAAAAAAAAAGAAAGGAAAAGAAAAGAAAAATAAAGGATTGCATGGTCCCCAAAGAACAGTATTTATTTATTTATTTAATAGATAAAATTATTTACCCAGTAATCTATGACTGTCTTCTTTTTTTTTTTTTTTTTTTTTGAGTTGGAGTCTCGCTCTGTTGCCCAGGCTGGAGTCCAGTGGTGTGATCTCGGCTCACTGCAAGCTCCGCCTCCTGGTTCATGCCATTCTCCCGCCTCAGCCTCCCGAGTAGCTGAGACTACAGGTGCCCGCCACCACGCCCAGCTAATTTTTTGTATTTTTAGTAGAGATGGGGTTTCACCATGTGTTAGCCAGGATGGTCTCAATCTCCTGATCTTGTGATCCGCCCACCTTGGCCTCCCAAAGTGCTGGGATTACAGGCGTCAGGCACGGAGACCAGCCGACTATCTTCTTGAGTGTAGAGACTGTCTTTTATCTTTGTATCTATAAATCTTAGCACATATTAGAGGCTCAATAAATGCTGTTCAGTGGCCAATAGAATGAATGAGTAACCTTGGATTCCACAGGATAGTATGGAGGCCAGCAAGGTTCCCTGCCTCTATCTGTAAAGTGGGGCCCAGAACGTTATTACCCTGGCTCAGGTTGATGCTGTAACCCGCATAGGGACTCAGAATCCCAGTATAAATGAACTCTTGGAATAGAGGGTCTGTGCAAGAAGGACTCTGTTAAACAGAATAGGCCATCTATGACTAATGGGTGCTTAAAGAAGCCAGGGAAGCAGACAAAAAGAGGCCTGGGAAAAACTGGGCTAATGTAGACATGCATTTATCAGAGGAACCTTTCAAGGAGGTGATAAGTGGGGGGCCCAGTGCAAAATGAAAAATGAAGGAGAAAAGGCCATCAGTGATCTGAGAGAATCCATTAGTAGGAGAGACTGATAAGTTACCGGGTGGTAAGAGAGAGGTGGCTGTTGGTTGGGCAAGGTTTTCTCTGATGTCCATGAACAAGTTCTCCTTTCAGCTGAAAGGGGTCCAGGAAGCAAGGTATCAGTTGAGTTAAATACAATCCAGATATATTTGTTTGTTTTTCAAGTGCTAGGTAATAAAAGATAGAGATAAAAGAGGCCGGGCGCAGTGGCTCATGCCTGTAATCCCAGCACTTTGGGTGGCCAAGGCAGGCAGATCACCTGAGGTTGGGAGTTCGAGACCAGCCTGGCCAACATAGTGAAACCCTGTCTTTACTAAAAATACAAAAATTAGCCAGGGCCAGGCGCAGTGGCTCACGCCTGTAATCCCAGCACTTTGGGAGGCCGAGGTGGGTGGATCACAAGGTCAGGAGTTCGAGACCAGCCTGGCCAGTATAGTGAAACCCTGTCTTTACTAAAAATACCAAAATTAGCCAGGCACGGTGCTGGGAGCCTGTAATCCTAGCTACTTGGAGGCCAGGATAGGAGAATCGCTTGAACCTGGGAGGCGGAGGTTGCAGTGAGCTGAGATTGAACCACTGCACTCCAGCCTGGGCAACGGAGCGAGGCTTCATCTTAAAAAAGAAAAAGCATTCATTTACTTGCCATCTGGAGGCGTGTGCTAAGGATGGGGATAACAGACAGCACGGTGGAACAGGGGAAGCCTCCTGGAGGCACAGGTGTTGTAGCTGAGTAATAAAGGGTGAGATGAAGCTAGCAAGCAGATGAGGTTGGAGAATATTCCAGGAATGGGAAGCAGCATGTGCAAAGGTGTGGAGATATGAAAGAGCTGGGTGTTTTCAGGCATCCAGAAGTATTAGGTCGAACAATAAGAAACTGCCATTTTTGTAGGTAAGAAATGGTTGACTCTCAGCTGTTTGATATTGGTTCTGCCTAATAGTTTAGTGGGAGTTTAGTGAGAGTGACCAGAGATGGATGGAGCTGGACACACAGAAGGGACCACATTGCACAGGCTGCTGTAAGATTTTGGAGGTTCTCTTATCCAGGATGAGGCATCATTGCAGGGTTTTATTTTTATTTTATTCATTCATTCATTCATTCATTTTTTTTAGATACACGGTCTCACTCTTTTGCCCAGGCTAGAGTGCAGTAGTGTCATCATAGCTTACTGTAGCATTTAACTCCTGGGCTGAACCCATTCCTCTGGCTGAGGAGATAGGACTACAGGTGTGCACAACTCCATACAGCTTAATTTAAATTTTTTTGTTCTATAGAGACAGGGTCTCACTATGTTGCCCAGGCTAGTCTTGAACTCCTGTACACAAGCAATCAGTCCTCTTACCTCAGACTCCCAAAGCGCTGGGAGTACAGGCATGAACCACTGTGCCTAGCCCCGATTGGAGGGTATTAAAGAGTATTTGGAAACAACTCTGGCAGCAGAGAAAAGGGCCTGGATTTCCAGTGGAAGGTCTTTAGCCCTTGAGCTTTGTCTGGGATTTGGCTCAAACACAGAGTACATACAAACATACACACACACAGGTGGGTACAGAGCTAGGGAAAGTAAGCCCAAGCAGTTGTAGGATATTGTGAAAGCACCTGAAGATACTCACTCACTGTGCATTTTCCCAGGGGCCTGCCCTGCCTGAGTCTAGGTAGCTGGACTCCAAGGTCTGAGAAATGGGCACAGGCAGAGAGAGATCCATGGGGGCCGTGGGCCTTTCTCTTCATCCCAGAGCTCACAGACCCTCAGCCAAGCTCTTGTGCCTGCAGGTGTCAGTGTGAAGAAGGGGCATGAGCTGGTGAACATCTATTGCCCCATCGTGGTCTCCAACGCAGGACTGTTCAACACCTATGAACACCTACTGCCGGGGAACGCCCGCTGCCTGCCAGGTAAAAGGCGGGTCTGCACTGCCCCTCTTGCAGGTTCCCCAATGTGTCTCCTTCTGGAGCCAACTTGCTCCGTGTGGGTCATGCTTCTCCTCTTCTTGGCCGGCCCTCTGATTGTCCTTAAGCAACAAGGTGAGAACGCTACCTCTAACATCATCCTAACCCTAGCATTTAATGTTGGGGAAACTGAGGCCCATACAGATTAATTACAGTCCTGAGGCCACTCAGCTGAAAGGGGCAGGGCTGAGCAGAGTAGCTGGTCTGATTTGAAAGCTCCGCTCCTCCCACCCTTCTGGGCTGAGGGGGCTTCCAGAGAAGAGGCCTCAGGAAGAGAAGCAGGAGAGCAGGCAGCCCACAGGGAGCAGAGCCGCCGAGCCAACGCAGCTAAGAGGTCCCGCCACCTTCATGTAACTGGATCTGAGGAAGGGAGGCCGCTGGGAAGAGGGGACCAGTAACCCAGCAGGGGTGAGAGAGAGGGGCCCAGATGAAGGACTCAGGATGGGGCGGGAGCTGGAGAGCATGGAGTAGCTCCGGATATGGTATGGCGGAAACCTTGACTGGTGCAGGAGCTAGAGAGCAGGGGAAGGAGCCCTGACCCCAGAGGGTGGGCCCGGGAGCTGCTCCCTGAGGAGCCGGGGAAGGGGACAGCAGAGCGGGCTGGGGGGTAAAGCGAGGTCCTGGCTTTCCGCATGGGGACTGGGTGGTAAGGCAGTTGTGATTGTCTCCAGGGCATAGGGTGATTTCACCAGCGCCAGCCTCTCCTTCCTTCACCCTGCGTGGCTGAGCCTGCAGCCTGCTCGGCCTCCCCTCTCTCAGACTCTCAGGAGCTGAAGGGGTGAGGCAGAGATGGCCCAGGGGCAGAGCAGGGAGGTCAGGCATGGTGCACAGGCAGACTCTGCCTTTGCTACTTCCTACCTTTCTCTCTGTGACCCTGACCTCCCTTCTCCCCTGTCCCAGGACCTCTGGGAACTGACACTGTCCTGGCCAGGCAGCCCTGCTACAGTCATCTGTCCCTCCCGCCCCCCTCTCACTGTCTGGTTACAATTTTCCCTTGTCTATGAATTTTCCTCCTGAACACGATCTGAAGGCCTCAAAAATATTTAGTTAAATGAAGGAAGCAGAGTGGCCAGGGGCCCGGCATGCCTCAGGCAGGTGCCAGAGCTGGCACCCCAAGGCTCTCCTGGGAGCAAGGAGTGGCCGTCTCCGGCCATGGTCCACACAGGCACCAACCACTCCCCCTGGCAGGTGTGAAGCAGCAACTGGGGACGGTGCGGCCCGGCTTAGGCATGACCTCTGTTTTCATCTGCCTGCGAGGCACCAAGGAAGACCTGCATCTGCCGTCCACCAACTACTATGTTTACTATGACACGGACATGGACCAGGCGTAAGGCGCACGTGTGTGTGTATGTGTGTGGCCCGTGCCTCCCTGCTTGACTCAGAGAATGAGCAGAGGTTATGGAATGGGAGGAAGTAGGCAATTTCTAATTTGCTCCTGGAAGTTTGTCACGCCAAGGCTGTGGCTCAGCTTCACCCCTGTGGGGAGTCCCTAGGGATAAGCAGTCCTTGCAGTGGTTCTGGGGTTTTGAGGACAAAAACCTGGAGATCCCACCACACTCTTGTCACATGCAGGATGGAGCGCTACGTCTCCATGCCCAGGGAAGAGGCTGCGGAACACATCCCTCTTCTCTTCTTCGCTTTCCCATCAGCCAAAGATCCGACCTGGGAGGACCGATTCCCAGGTGGGGCTGCACGTCCCGGGTGAGGGGGTGGAGGGAGAGGCCGGGCAGTAGTAATATCAGCTCTGATCCCCAGGCCGGTCCACCATGATCATGCTCATACCCACTGCCTACGAGTGGTTTGAGGAGTGGCAGGCGGAGCTGAAGGGAAAGCGGGGCAGTGACTATGAGACCTTCAAAAACTCCTTTGTGGAAGCCTCTATGTCAGTGGTCCTGAAACTGTTCCCACAGCTGGAGGGGAAGGTAGGGGGTAAAGTATTTGGGGTGGTGACGAACCTCACGGTGCTGTTTCTGCCCTTTCCTTGAGACAGGGGAATCAGGCCCCAAGACATGAGCCCCAGGGAAGGACAGGGCACCCATCCCTGCAGTCAGTGAATGGGAAAGAGTGGAAGAGGGAGGGGAGCCAGGATCTCACATGCCTGGCCCACCCTTTCTGCCCTCAGGTGGAGAGTGTGACTGCAGGATCCCCACTCACCAACCAGTTCTATCTGGCTGCTCCCCGAGGTGCCTGCTACGGGGCTGACCATGACCTGGGCCGCCTGCACCCTTGTGTGATGGCCTCCTTGAGGGCCCAGAGCCCCATCCCCAACCTCTATCTGACAGGTATACTCACTGCCCCATGTTGTCAGGACCTGAGACCCTGGGCCCCTGTCGCCCAACGTCCTCTGTTCCTGCCCTCAGGCCCTGCTGTCCCCTGCAGCCTCCCATCCCCTGAGCAGGGCTGCCTGGGCAGGCTGTGGCCCCTGTCTGATTGGAGCCAGCTCTGGGTGGCCCTCATGTGGAGGGAAGAGCACCAAGGCCCCACCCTCCCCTGGGCCTGCCTGGGTGCACGCTCAGGGGCCTCTGCTCTTGCCTCCTAGGCCAGGATATCTTCACCTGTGGACTGGTCGGGGCCCTGCAAGGTGCCCTGCTGTGCAGCAGCGCCATCCTGAAGCGGAACTTGTACTCAGACCTTAAGAATCTTGATTCTAGGATCCGGGCACAGAAGAAAAAGAATTAGTTCCATCAGGGAGGAGTCAGAGGAATTTGCCCAATGGCTGGGGCATCTCCCTTGACTTACCCATAATGTCTTTCTGCATTAGTTCCTTGCACGTATAAAGCACTCTAATTTGGTTCTGATGCCTGAAGAGAGGCCTAGTTTAAATCACAATTCCGAATCTGGGGCAATGGAATCACTGCTTCCAGCTGGGGCAGGTGAGATCTTTACGCCTTTTATAACATGCCATCCCTACTAATAGGATATTGACTTGGATAGCTTGATGTCTCATGACGAGCGGCGCTCTGCATCCCTCACCCATGCCTCCTAACTCAGTGATCAAAGCGAATATTCCATCTGTGGATAGAACCCCTGGCAGTGTTGTCAGCTCAACCTGGTGGGTTCAGTTCTGTCCTGAGGCTTCTGCTCTCATTCATTTAGTGCTACGCTGCACAGTTCTACACTGTCAAGGGAAAAGGGAGACTAATGAGGCTTAACTCAAAACCTGGGCATGGTTTTGGTTGCCATTCCATAGGTTTGGAGAGCTCTAGATCTCTTTTGTGCTGGGTTCAGTGGCTCTTCAGGGGACAGGAAATGCCTGTGTCTGGCCAGTGTGGTTCTGGAGCTTTGGGGTAACAGCAGGATCCATCAGTTAGTAGGGTGCATGTCAGATGATCATATCCAATTCATATGGAAGTCCCGGGTCTGTCTTCCTTATCATCGGGGTGGCAGCTGGTTCTCAATGTGCCAGCAGGGACTCAGTACCTGAGCCTCAATCAAGCCTTATCCACCAAATACACAGGGAAGGGTGATGCAGGGAAGGGTGACATCAGGAGTCAGGGCATGGACTGGTAAGATGAATACTTTGCTGGGCTGAAGCAGGCTGCAGGGCATTCCAGCCAAGGGCACAGCAGGGGACAGTGCAGGGAGGTGTGGGGTAAGGGAGGGAAGTCACATCAGAAAAGGGAAAGCCACGGAATGTGTGTGAAGCCCAGAAATGGCATTTGCAGTTAATTAGCACATGTGAGGGTTAGACAGGTAGGTGAATGCAAGCTCAAGGTTTGGAAAAATGACTTTTCAGTTATGTCTTTGGTGTCAGACATACGAAAGGTCTCTTTGTAGTTCGTGTTAATGTAACATTAATAAATTTATTGATTCCATTGCTTTAACATTTGAAATTTATTTTGGTTTTTTGTTCAAGAAAACAAAACTATTATTGTGATGGCATTTGCAGAAGCTCAGTAAAACACTATATACTGAATAACACCAAAATAAGCTTTAAAAAAATAAAATTAAGTAATTATAAAGTTACAAAAAGTGGGGTCTGCGCCTTCCCAGGCCAGTGTGCTGAGCTCTCCATGTCGCTGTTGCCGCCCGCACCTGGCCTACCGCGGCACTCCCGGCTGCATGCTCTGCTTGGCCTTGCCATGCCGGTGGACCTCAGCAAGTGGTCCGGGCCCTTGAGCCTGCGAGAAATGGACGAGCGGTCACAGCACCTGCTGCATGTCACCTACGCCCGGGCGGTGGTGGACGAGCTGGGCAAAGTGCTGACGCCCACCCAGGTTAAGAATAGACCCACCAGCATTTAGTGGGATGGTCTTGATTCAGGGAAGCTCTACACCTTGGTCCTGACAGACCCTGATGCTCCCAGCAGGAAGGATCCCAAATACAGAGAATGGCATCATTTCCTGGTGGTCAACATGAAGGGCAATGACATCAGCAGTGACACACTCCTCTCCGATTATGTGGGCTCGGGGCCTCCCAAGGGCACAGGTCTCCACCGCTATGTCTGGCTGGTTTATGAGCAGGACAGGCCACTAAAGTGTGACGAGCCCATCCTCAGCAACCGATCTGGAGACCACCGTGGCAAATTTGAGGTGGTGTCCTTCCGTAAAAAGTACGAGCTCGGGGCCCCGGTGGCTGGCACGTGTTACCAGGCTGAGTGGGACGACTATGTGCCCAAACTGTACGAGCAACTCTCTGGGAACTAGTGGGTTAGCTTGGGGACCTGAACTGTTCTGGAGGCCCCAAGCCATGTTCCCCAGTTCAGTGTTGCATGTATAATAGGTTTCTCCTCTTCCTGCCCCCCTTGGCACAGGTGAGACCTGACCAGTCAGATGGTGGTTGAGGGTGACTTTTCCTGCTGCCTGGCCTTTATAATTTTACTCACTCACTCTGATTTATGTTTTGATCAAATTTGAACTTCATTTTGGGGGATATTTTGGTACTGTGATGGGGTCATCAAATTGTTAATCTGAAAATAGCAACCCAGAATGTAAAAAAGAAAAAACTAGGGGGAAAAAACCAGGTCTACAGTGATAGAGCAAAGCATCAAAGAATCTTTAAGGAAGGTTTAAAAAAAAAAAAGATTGGTTGCCTCTGCCTTTGTGATCCTGAGTCCAGAATGGTACACAATGTGTTTTTATGGTGATGTCACTCACCTAGACAACCAGAGGCTGGCATTGAGGCTAACCCCCAACACGGTGCATCTCAGATGCCTCAATAGGCATCAGTATGTCGCTCTGGTCCCTTTAAAGAGCAATCCTGGAAGAAGCAGGAGGGAGAGTGGCGCTGCTGTTGTTGGGACATGGCCATCTAGACCGGCAGCAGCGCTCGCTGACAGCTTGGGAGGAAACCTTAGATCGGTGTTTGTTAAACTGATCATTCTTCACGGGAGTAAGAAAAGCTGGTCTGGAGTTGCTGAACATTGCATTAATTGTGCTGTTTACTTATAGTTGAATAAAAATAGAAACCTGAATGAAAAAAAAAAGTTACAAAAAGTGGCCATCTACCGACTGGGCAAACAAAAAAGAACAGTTTCAACACTCAGTCATTTATTGCACATGGAGTCTGATGAATTAAAAGAATACCAATCAGAGTGTCCGGGGCTGGCGTGTTGGCAGTTTGAAGTACCATACAGCTCAGGGCTGGGTGCTTTGGCTCATGCCTGTAATCCCAGCACTCTGGGAGGCCAAGGCAGGTAGATTGCTTGAGCTCAGGAGTTCAAGACCAGTCTGAGCAACATGGCAAGACCCTGTCTCTATAGAAAGTCCCCACCCCACCCCCAGAAAAATTAGCTGGGCATGGTGGTGTGCCCCTGTAGTCCCAGCTATTCAGGAGGCTGAGGTGGGAGGATCACTTGAGCCCGGGAGGTGGAGGTTGCAGTGAGCCAAGATTGTGACACTGCACTCCAGCCTGAGCAAGAGAGTGGGACCCCGTCTCAAAACAAAACAAACAAAAAAAACCAAACATATAGCTCAGACCCAAACCCTTTACAGAGGAGTTTCTAAATTGGGAGATTTGGCTAAATACAATGGCTCATGTCTGTAATCCCAGTATTTTGGGAGGCTGAGGTGGGATGATTGTTTGAACCCAGGAGTTTGAGGCTGCAGTGAGCTGTGATCACACCACTGCACTCCAGCCAGAGTAACAGAACGAGACCCTCCTCTAAAAAAACAAAACAAAACAAAACAAATAAACAAATTGGGAGATTTGGTAAATTCACACCTGACCTGTAGAACTACCTGAGTTGAGAGTCACCCTTGGCTCTGGATGTACCGTTTAATTGCAGCTAAAAATCTCTACCCAGGATTCCTACTGGAGCAAGTCACACCGAGCCCAACCTTCCTAGCAAGAGTTTTCACAGCGTTCTAGCTCTCATCACACTTGCAGCATTCTGCATCAGTTTACCCTGTACAGTCAAGCACAAAAGAAGACACCAGCATCACCAGCAGGGGAATTCTAGAGGTTTAGAATTCTATCAGCACATGTGTCACTAAAAGCCATTATGGGGGGACTATGTCAGAATATATGTAACTAGCTGTCAGGTCTTTCCCAGTTGCCTCAGCCTTTCTACATAGACTGGTCTTCGACTTGCCCTGAGTCCAGAAGTGGACTCTTACAGCAATTTTACTCAGGAATCTGTAGCAGGAAAACAGGTTCCTCTATTAACATCCATGACTGAACCACAGATTCGTCTAATAGAAATCACACTTCACCGGGCGTGGTGGCTCACGCCTGTAATCCCAGCACTTTGGGAGCCGGGGCAGGCAGACCACCTGAAGTCGGGAGTTCAAGACCAGCCTGACCAACATGGAGAAACCCCGTCTCTACTAAAAATGCAAAATTAGCCAGGCGTGGTGGTGCATGCCTGTAGTCCCAGCTACTCGGGAGGCTGAGGCTGGAGAATTGCTTGAACCAGGGAGGTTGTGGTGAGCTGAGATCGTGCCGTTGTGCTCCAGCCTGGGCAAGAGCGAAACTCCGTCTCAAAAAAAAAAAAAAAAAAAAAAAAAATTCACCCTTCAACCAAAAGCTGGGCGCAGAAAGGGAAGCCCTTAGCTGACTATAGGAGGTGCCTCTTGTGGCTCTTCGTGCTTCTTACACACCACCCCTAGCTTGAGTGATGCCTCAGCCAGCTCACCCTCATCCACACAATCTCTAGGAAACATGCTTCGAATATTGTCTTTGAAAAGACAACCATGCAGAAAATAAGCTTTCCTTTAGTGTGCAGTATTTTATTCAGTGCAATTCTAAAGGCAAACTTGAATTCAAGTGTACTCTTTCTGCACAAGAAATGAAACTTCTCAGAGGTTCAAAAGCTGAGCTCTGCGGACTCCGTGACAAAATCTACACATCCACTGCCAACCCTCTTGGTTTCTGAAACCAACCTTTCTTCCTGCTGTCCTCTTTAAGAGCAAAACCCAACATGTATAAGGTCAGAGCAAGTGGTAGCCAGGAAAAGCTTGGGGACCTCTATCATGTCCAGAGGGCATGAAGAAAGAAAACACGTCCTCTGCCAAAGGCAAAATGGAGTTTGTGAAGCAGGAGTGGTGGCTCATGCCTGTAATCTCAGCATTTTGGGAGGCCGAGGCGGCCAATCATCTG
Organism: Homo sapiens; assembly: GCF_000001405.40. Taxonomy (NCBI): domain Eukaryota; kingdom Metazoa; phylum Chordata; class Mammalia; order Primates; family Hominidae; genus Homo; species Homo sapiens. The sequence continues at coordinate 264,621 of NW_025791763.1, read as the reverse complement.
AGGTCAGGAGTTCGAGGCCAGCCTGGCCAACATGGCAAAACCTCGTGTGTGTGTAGAGATGGGGTCTTGCTATGTTTCCCAGGCTGATCTCAAACTCCTGGGCTCAAGCAATCCTCCTACCTGCAGACCTCCCTAAATGCTGGGATTACAAGTGTGAGCCATCATGCCTGGCCCCACAAAATGATTTTTAAAGTCAGTTAGAAATCAAACATACACTAGAAAGAAATACACTTGATGGAGAGATGGGAATCCTGACTCTGCTTCACACTGTTCTGTATTATTTTGCATTATTTACATGTAGTTTTTTTTCCCCCAAATTGAAAGAAAAGTTATAATGAAGAGGGGAAACTCCTTAAGGCTGATTATCTGAGAAGCTAGCAGTCCAGCGCTAAATTGTGAAGCTGACCTCTTGAGGTAGTTAACAAAGATGTTTCTCTTTATGTCTTTTTGCCAGTAGCACACTGCCCTAATTACTCCAGCTTTTTGGTGAGTTTTGAAACTGGGAAGTGTGAATTCTTCAGCTTTGTTCTTTTCCACGTCTGTTTTTGCTTTTGTATGCCTCTTGCATTTCCATATGTATTGTGGAATCTGCTTGTCGATTCTGCACCAAGCCAGCTGGAATCTTAATAGACACTGTGTTTAATAGAGACTGGGTGTAGACCAATTTGGGGAGCATAGCCATGTTAACAAAACTCTGTCTTCCAATCCATGAATATAGGCTATCTTTCCATTTCTTTAGGTCTTCTTTAATTTCTTTCAACGTTTTGTAGTTTTCACAACACAAATTTTGCAATTCTTTGGTTAAATTTATTTCTATGGATTTTTTTATACTATTCACAAATGCAATTATTTCTTATTTCATTTTCAGATTGTCCATTGCAAAGTTATAGAAATATAGTTGATTTCTGTATGTTGATCTCAAAGGATGTGGAGAAAATAAACAATGGAAAACAAGGAGATAGTGTCCCAGAAGATAAGTGACCTGACTAGGTATAGCACTAAAGGCCTGCAAGGCAAACATTTTACATAAGGTTTTCTTTTGGCTTTTTTTTTGAGACGAAGTCTCACTCTGTTGCCTAAGCTGGAGGGCAGCGGCGAGATCACGGCTCACTACAACCTCCACCTCCTGGGTTCAAGTGATTCTCCTGCCTCAGCCTCCCAAGTAGCTGGGAATACAGGCGCACACCACCATGCCCGGCTAATTTCTGTATTTTTAGTAGAGACGGGGTTTCGCTATTTTGGCCAGGCTGGTCTTGAACTCCTGACCTCGCGATCCTCCCGCCTTGGCCTCCCAAAGTGCTGGGATTACAGGTGTGAGCCACTGTGCCTGGCCTGTTTTGTTTTTTTTTAGACAGAATCTCGCCCTGTTGCCCAGGCTGGAGGGCAGTGGCAGGATCTTGGCTCACTGCAGCCTCTGCCTCCTGGGTTCAAGCGATTCTTGTGTCTCAGCCTCCAGAGCAGCTGGGATTACAGGCACCTGCCACCATGCCCGGCTAATTTTTGTATTTTTAGCAGAGACGGGGTTTCACCATGTTGGCCAGGCTGGTCTCGAACTCCTGACCTCAAGTGATCCACTGCCTCGGCCTCCCAAAGTGCTGGGATTACAGGTGTGAGCCACTGTGCCCAGCCAACATATGGGTTTATAACTTGCTTTATTTTTGGTTAACAATCATATGCACATATTACTATAGGAAAGGAGGACCAACAAAATATTCATGATAATAGCTCTGGATTAAGAATATTTTTCTGGCCAGGTGTGGTGGCTCATATGTGTAATTGCAGCACTTTGGGAGGCTGAGGTGGGAGGATTGCTTGAGCCCAGGAGTTCAAGACCAGCCTGGGCAACATAGTTCAAGACCAGCCTGGGCAATAGTCTGTCTCTACAAAAAGTTTAAAAATTAGCTAGGTGTGGTGGCATGCACCTGTAGTCCCAGCTACTTGGGAGGCTGAGGTGGGAGGATTACCTGAGCCTGGGAGGTCAAGGCTGCAGTGAGCTATGGTCGGTCTCAAAAAAAAAAAAAAGAAAAGAAAAAAAAAGAAATATCTTTCTTACTTTGGTTCATCTTTGTTTTATAATTTTTCTATAATTAACATATTACAGTAATAATTTTAGAGCATTATATGCTACATATGGTGTTAAACACTATATTTTACATGAATAATCTAATTCTTAACATTTTAATTTCCATTTCATAGTGAAGAAACAGGCTAGGCGTGGTGGCATACACCTGTAATCTCAGCACTTTGGGAGGCCAAGGTGGGCGGATCACTTGAGGTCAGGAGTTTGAGACCAGCCTGGCCAACATGGTGAAACCCTGTCTCTACTAAAAATACAAAAATTAGCTGGGTGTGGCGGCACACACCTGTAGTCCCAGCTACTTGGGAGGCTGAGGCATGAGAATTGCTCAAATCCAGGACGTAGAGGTTGCAGTGTGCCAAGATCACACCACTGCACTCCAGCCTGGGTGTCAGAGTGAGACCCTGTCTCAACATAATAATAATAAAGAAACAAATATTTAAAGTAATTAAGTAACTCGTCCACGGTCATGTGAATTACTTGTGCAATAAGTATTAAAGAATAACACTTAAGGACTATATTTCTATCTGTTTGGCAGATTAATAATACTCACTGCTATCAAAGCTTTGGCAAAATAATAGAATTGCTTTATCTTTCTTTCTTTCTTTTCTTTAGAGATTGGTTCTCACTCAGTCACCCAGGCTGGAATGCAGAGATCATAGCTCACTGTAATCTCCAACTCCTGGTCTCAAGCCAGACTAATTTTTAAATTTTTAAAATTGAGACAGGGTCTCAATTTGTTGACCAGGCTGGTCTCAAACTCCAGGCTTCAAGGGATCCTCTCGTCTTGGCCTGCCAAAGTGCTGGGATTACAGGCATGAGCCACTCTACCAGGGCTACTTAATCTTTCTAAGCATTTGTCTTACCTTAAAAGGCACCTAACCAGTACTTAACAATAGTTAACTAACAATAGAAAACTAAAAATAATACGGATGTCCAATAGCAAGAGAACTGTCACAATTATGATCAACTAATAGATTACTTTTTATGAAACCATTAACAATCCTGTTTTGAACAATATTTAGTTAGAAAAATTGTTCCTATACTTACCTTTGAACTCCATGATTACATTTCCAACTAGATTATTTTCACCTGGCTGTCTCATGGTCCACAGTACACAGAAGCAATTAACCATAAGCAAATTCATTTTCTATGCCCCACCCCCATCAGACTTGCTTCTCCATTAGTGCTCCTTCCCTCAGGGAAAGGACACCGCCACACCTTCTTCACCATCACTCCTTTTCCCCCACACCCTGTCCATCTTCAAGGCCTGTTAGTATTACCTTCACATTTATCTTGAGTCCAATTACTTCCCTCCATTCTCACTTTCCCTATACTAGTCCTACTTGGACTATTGCATCAGTCTCTTAACTCTTAAATTCACTCCTCCCTCTGAGAGGTGACAGCGTGCTGGCAGTCCTCACAGCCCTCGCTCGCTCTCCGTGCCTCCTCTGCCTGGGCTCCCACTTTGGCGGCACTTGAGGAGCCCTTCAGCCCGCCGCTGCACTGTGGGAGCCCCTTTCTGGGCTGGCCAAGGCTGGAGCTGGCTCCCTCAGCTTGCGGGGAGGTGTGGAGGGAGAGGCGCGGGCGGGAACCGGGGCTGCGCGCGGTGCTTGCGGGCCAGCGCGAGTTCCGGGTGGACGTGGGCTCGGCGGGCCCTGCACTCCTAGCGGCCGGGCAGTGAGGGGCTTAGCACCTGCGCCAGCAGCTGCTGTGCTCAATTTCTCGCTGGGCCTTAGCTGCCTTCCCGCAGGGCAGGGCTCGGGACCTGCAGCCCGCCATGCCTGGGCCTCCCCCACCTCCGTGGGCTCCTGTGTGGCCCCAGCCTCCCCGACGAGCACCGCCCCCTGCTCCACGGCGCCCAGTCCCATCGACCACCCAAGGACTGAGGAGTGCGGGCGCACGGCATGGGACTGGCAGGCAGCTCCACCTGCGGCCCTAGTGCGGGATCCACTGGGTGAAGCCAGCTGGGCTCCTGAGTCTGGTGGGGACTTGGAGAACCTTTATGTCTAGCTAAGGGATTGTAAATACACCAATCGGCACTCTGTATCTAGCTCAAGGTTTGTAAACACACCAATCAGCACCCTGTGTGTAGCTCAGGGTTTGTGAATGCACCAATCCACACTCTGTATCTAGCTACTCTGGTGGAGACTTGGAGAACTTTTATGTCTAGCTAAGGGATTGTAAATACACCAATAGGCACTCTGTATCTAGCTCAAGGTTTGTAAACACGCCAATCAGCACCCTGTGTCTAGCTCAAGGTTTGTGAATGCACCAATCGACACTCTGTATACAGCTACTCTGGTGGGGACTTGCAGAACCTTTGGTCCACACTCTGTATCTAACTAATCTAGTGGGCAGGTGGAGAACCTTTGTGTCTAGCTCAGGGATTGTAAGCGCACCAATCAGCACCCTGTCAAAACAGACCACTCAGCTCTCTGTAAAATGGACCAATCAGCAGGATGCGGGCGGGGCCAGATAAGAGAATAAAAGCAGGCTGCCCCAGCCAGCAGTGGCAACCCACTCAGGTCCCCTTCTGTGCGGTGGAAGGTTTGTTCTTTCTCTCTTTGCAGTAAATCTTGCTGCTGCTCACTCTTTGGGTCCACACTGCCTTTATGAGCTGTAACACTTACCGCGAAGGTCTGCAGCTTCACTCCTGAAGCCAGCGAGAACACGAACCCACCGGGAGCAACGAACAACTCCAGATGCGCCGCCTTAAGAGCTAGCTGTAACACTCACCGCGAAAGTCCGCAGCTTCGCTCCTGAGCCGGCCAGACCATGAACCCACCAGAAGGAAGAAACTCCCAACACATCCGAACATCAGAAGGAACAAACTCTGGACACGCCTTTAAGAACTGTAACACTCACCGCGAGGGTCCGCGGCTTCATTCTTGAAGTCAGTGAGACCAAGAACCCACCAATTCCAGACATACCTCCCCACTGAAGTTTTTCATGCTACAACCAGAGTAATATTTAAAAATTTGGCTGAGCCCAGTGGCTCACGCCTGTAATCCCGACACTTTGGGAGGCCGAGGTGGGTGGATCACTTGAGGTTAGGATTTCGAGACCAGCCTGGCCAACATGGTGAAACTCTGCCTCTACTAAAATACAAAAATTAGCTGGGCATGGTGGTGGGCACCTGTAATCCCAGCTACTCGGGAGGCTGAAACAGGAGAACTGCTTGAACCCAGGAGGCGGAGGTTGCAGTGAGCCGAGATTGTGCCACTGCACTCCCGCCTGGGTGACAGAGTGAGACTCCGTCTAAAAACAAAAATAAAATAAAATAAAAAATAATAAAAATTCCCAACCCTTAGCTGGTCTGATGGTATTGGGTTCTCAGAACTTACTAACATTAGTATCACTACACTTTGTATTAATATATAACACCCCATTGCTAAATTTGATTGTCTTTAAAAAATCCCAATTCTGATTCTATCTTTCCTCTACTTAAAACTCTAGCGGTACCATTATTGTTAAGATAAAATACAAAACCCTGGACATGCCCCATGAGTTCTGCATCATTTGGACTCCTTTCCTCTATTGTCTAGTAATTTGGACACCAGGTCAGGCTTAATAATTTACTGTTCCCTCACCAGACACACATACCCTTGATAAGCCAATATCTTTAAATGTTAGTCAAACACTTATTTAGGGGAGGTAGAAATAATTTTCTTTTCCTTTTTTTTTTGAGAGAGTCTTGCTCTGTCGCCTAAGCTGGGGTGCAGTGGTGCAGTCTCAGCTCACTGCAACCTCTGCCTCCCAAGTTCAAGTGATTCTTCTGCCTCAGCCTCCCGAGTAGCTGAGATTACAGGCATGCACCACCATGTCCAGCTAAATTTTTTTTTTGTATTTTTAGTAGAGACGGGGTTTCACCATGTATGTCATGCCGGTCTGGAACACCTGACCGCAAATGATCCGCCTGCCTCGGCCTCCCAAAGTGCTGGAATTACAGGCTTGAGCCACCGCACCCAGCCAGAATTTTTTTTTTCTCTTGTCTTCTCTTTTTTCCGTTTTTTGGGACAGAGTCTCACTTTGTTGCCAAGGCTAGAGTGCAGTAACCTGATCACAGCTCACTGCAGCCTCCACCTATGACGCTCAAGCAATTCTCCCATCTCAGTGCTGCTGGGACTGTAGGTGCACACCACGCCCAGCTCATTTTTAAAATTATTTGTAGAGACGGGGTTTCGCCGTGTTGCCCAGGGTGGTCTTGAACTCCTGGGCTCAATCAGCCAGCCTCGGCCTCCCAACCAAAGTGCTGGGATTACAGGTGTGAGCCACTGCACCTCACCAGAGTTTTCTTTTAGAAACAAATTAATTTACCAATTCATTTCTTTTAGCCTAAGTGGAGTCAAGGTTCTAAATAGTTTGGCAAAAGATTTCTCACTTCCTGTGATTCTTATTTTCTCTTCAGTAATGAGTGTATGTGTGAGAGACATTTTCTTATGACAGAGAAACATATTGAGAACATAATTGTTTTTTAAATTAAAAAATATCCGGCCTGGGCGACAGAGTGAGACCCTGTCTCAAATTAATAAATAAACAAATAAAAATAAAAATAAAGCACTTGTTCCTGAAAATTATATGCCACTATATGCACTATTCTTTGAAATTCTGAAGAACTCTGATTGACTAGAACTGCATATCATGTAAGCCAAATATTGCCCTCAGTAGACTCCAGAGGAGTTATTTCCCCTGGCAGCTATAGTTCTTTCTGGCAGGAGAGGGACTAGTTTACATTTCAATCAAAGTTAACTGGCATACAGCAGGGCGCAGTGGCTCACGCCTGTAATCTCAGCACTTTCAGAGGCTGAGGTGGGTGGATCATTTGAGGTCAGGAGTTTGAGACCAGCCTGGTCAACACGGTAAAACCCCGCCTCTACTAAAAATACAAAAATTAGCCCGGCGTGGTGGCGGGTGTCTGTAATCTCAGCTACGCAGTAGTCTGAGGCAGAAGAATCATCTGAACCCGGGAGGCGGAGGCTGCAGTGAGCTGAGATCACGCACTCCAGCATGGGCGACAGAGGGAGACTCCATCTCAAAACAAAACCCACAAAGTTAACTGCCTTATTTTCTGTTGTACTTTTTGTGCTTAGTAGATTCATGTTCTAGACAATTCTCAGGTCATTTGTTCTTTAACCTGGCTCTGCTCCAGCCTCTTTCCTGCCTTTCTCCTTGTTCTCTATTACCTGACAATCATAGTCTTTAGACTTACACAAAATACCAGGTCCCCACCTGTCTGCAGGCCATTGTATTAGGTTGGTGCAAAAGTAATTGCTGTTTTTGTCAAACAGCAAAAACGCAATTGCTTTTGTACCAACCTACTACATGCTGTACACTCAGCCAGGAAAGCTCATCCTCCTCTTCCCTTCATCTTCCCAGTATGTACCTGGGACATAGCTACATCCTTTGGTCCTCATCTTAAAGGTCCCTTCCTCAAATGATCTCATAGTTTCTATAATTTTCTTTCTGGCAGTTCTTGGAATGTGCATGCACATACACACATTTGTGTAGATATTTAATATTTATGTACCGCAAACTGCATGCTCCATGAAGTTAATACCTACCTTAAAAATTTGATATAGGGCCGGGGGCAGTGGCTCACGCCTGTAATCCCAGCACTTTGGGAGGCCGAGGATGGTGGATCCCCTGAGGTCAGAAGTTCAAGACCAGCCTAACATGGAGAAACCCCATCTCTACTAAAAATACAAAATTAGCTAGGTATGGTGGCGCATGCCTGTAGTCCCAGCTACTCGGGAGGCTGAGGCAGGAGAATCGCTTGAACCTGGGAGGCAGAGGTTGTGCTGAGCCGAAAATGCACCATTGCACTCCATCCAAAAAAATTTTTTTTTATATAGTTGTACATATTTATGGGGTACATGTGGTGGTATTTTTATACAGGTATACAATATGTAATGACCAAATCAGGGTAAGTGGGATATCCATCAACTCAAATATTTATCTATTCTTTGTATTGGGAACATTACAATTCTTTTCTTTTAAAATATACAATGTTTCTGTTAACTATATTTTCCTACCGTATTACTGACTACAGAACTTACTCTTTTTATGTATCTGTATTTTTGTACCCATTAACAAACTTCTCTTCATCTTTCCTCCCATCTTCCCTTCCCAGCCTCTGGTAACCACCTCTACTTCCATGAGATCCACTAGTCTCAGCTACTTGGAAGGCTGAGGTGGGGGATCACTAGAGCCCAGGAGATGGAGATTGCAGTGAGCTGAGATCGTGCCACTGCACTCAAGCCTGGGTGACAGAGTAAGACCCTGTCTCAAAAAAAAAAAAAAAAAAAAAAGAGAGATGGGATCTTGCCATGTTGCCCAGTCTGGTCTGGAACTTCTGGGCTCATGTGATCCCCCTGCCTCAGCCTCCCAAAGTGCTGGGATTACAGGAGTAGATATCTTAGATATACTTATTTCCTTTCTTTTGTACATATCCAGCAGTGGGAATACTGGATCATATGGCAGTTCTATTTTTAGTTTTTGAGAAACTCTGTGCTGCTTTCCTTTATTTTTTTATAGAGACAAGAGTCTTGCTACGTTGCCCAGGCTGATCTCGAACTCCTGGGCTCAAGCCATCTGCCTGCCTCAGCCTCCCAAGGTGCTGGGACTACAGGTGTGAGCCTCCATGCCCTGCCAATACTGTTTTCCATAATGGCTGTACTAATCTACATTCTCACCAACAGGCTATTAGCATTCCCTTTTCTTCTTATCTTTGTCACCATTTTGTATTTTTTTTTCTTTTGATAACAGTCATTCTAACTGGGGCTAAGATGATCTCTTATTGTGGTTTGGATTTGCATTTCCCTGATGATTAGTGATAGTGAGCATTTTTTCATATACCATTTCTATGTTGGCCATTTGTATGTCATCTTTTGAGATATGTCTATTCAGCAGGTCCTTTGCCCATGTTTTTCTTTTTTCTTTTTCTTTTTTTGAGATGGTTGCCTAGGCTGGAGTGCAGTGATAAGATTTTGGCTAACTCACTGCAACCTCCACCTCCCAGGCTCAAGTAATCCTTCCATCCTCAGCCTTCTGAGTAGCTGGGATTACATGCACAGGCCACCATGACTGGCTAATTTTTTGTATTTTTGGTAGACATGGGGTTTCACCATGTTGCCCCGGCTGGTGCCCATTTAATTATATTTTTTCCTTGAGTTTATTATATATTCTAGTTATTAATCCCTTGTCGGATGGATAGTTTGCGAATAGTTTCTCCCATTATGTAGGTTGTTTCTTCACTGTTTCCTTTGCTGTGCAGAAGCTTTTTAACTTGATGTAATCTCATATAAGACCTATCATTTCTTAAATCACTGTCTCCAAAGCACCAAGCCTGGCAATCGTTGATAAAGTGATTTCAAACATTTAATGTATAAACATAACAGTAACTGTAAACGGTGAGATACAAAACCACTTACCTGATTATCCCAATATGGGGAGAAAATAAATATGCATAGAGGAAAAGAGAAATACACTAATTAAGAAGGGAAAGAGTCCTTTTTTTTTTTTTTAACAAAACTAAATGGAAACATAATAAACTAATGTAAGCGGTAACCTGTGGAGGAGTAGGAAGACTTTTCTAAAGTCTGTTTACTTTAAAATCCGGTTTTCATTTCTGAAACATTATAATGTATTATCTATTCAAAAACATCAAATGTTTAGAGGGCAGACAATACACTAAAACATTAATAGTGATTATCCCGGAAGGGTAGGAGTCAGGCTTTGTTTTCTGCTTCTGTATCAGAAAAAGGATGCACTTTTTGGAAAAGATGTTTGGCGACCTGGAAGGACACCGTCTCCGTGGAGTCGGGAAGGAGGAGGGCCAGGATGCGAAGGCAACGCTTTGCAGGTGATCGGATGGATTTATTCCCACATGGGAGAGACCAGAGCACAGCACGTTTGTGTACGGCCAGGAGGGAACCACGAAAAAAGCAGAAGATAGAAACGCAAGCACACGATGGTGGTGGCCAAGAGGAGCCTGCCCCTAGTGACCTCACTTCCGCGGCCAGTGCGAGAGGCGAGGGAGCTCCAGCTCTGCCTGTAAGGTCTCGGAAGTACGAGGCGGAGGGGACGAAAAACGGGGGGCCAGACTGTTGTGGCTGTGGTGGAGACGAGAAACCAGGAAGAAGAGGCTCGCTTCCCACTCGGCGACCGTAAGCGAAGCAGCCGAAGGCGAGCGCCGACATCAGCAGCTGCCCCCTAAATCCCGCCCTTCGTCTTGGCGGCAGCGGGAGACTGAGAGACGCGCGCAGCAGGGGCGGGACTGGAGAGGGGCCCCGCGCGCGGATCTCGCGAGAGCATTAGAGGGCGGAAGCGCTATCCGAGCAGGATGCGGTTCGTGGTTGCCTTGGTCCTCCTGAACGTCGCAGCGGCGGGTAAGACCCTCCATCCCGCATCCCACTCTTGCCCCCAGATCCCCCATTCTCACCTGGGCAGGTCACCTCTAGGCTCGCTTCTTCCCTACCCGACCCACCTCTCCGCTCGCCATCGTCTCCCGCCCCACCCCCCAATCCCCATTCCCCCGCTGCTCCCGATCTCTTCCAGTTCTGAGGAGTTCCTTCTTCCCGCCTGCCCTTCTCCGGTGCTAACTCGTTTTTCTATTTCAGGAGCCGTGCCGCTCTTGGCCACCGAAAGCGTCAAGCAAGAAGAAGCTGGAGTACGGCCTTCTGCAGGAAACGTCTCCACCCACCCCAGCTTGAGCCAACGGCCTGGAGGCTCTACCAAGTCGCATCCGGAGCCGCAGACTCCAAAAGACAGCCCTAGCAAGTCGAGTGCGGAGGCGCAGACCCCAGAAGACACCCCCAACAAGTCGGGTGCGGAGGCAAAGACCCAAAAAGACAGCTCCAACAAGTCGGGTGCGGAGGCAAAGACCCAAAAAGGCAGCACTAGCAAGTCGGGTTCGGAGGCGCAGACCACAAAAGACAGCACTAGTAAGTCGCATCCGGAGCTGCAGACTCCAAAAGACAGCACTGGCAAATCGGGTGCGGAGGCGCAGACCCCAGAAGACAGCCCCAACAGGTCGGGTGCGGAGGCAAAGACCCAAAAAGACAGCCCTAGCAAGTCAGGTTCGGAGGCGCAGACCACAAAAGATGTCCCTAATAAGTCGGGTGCGGACGGCCAGACCCCAAAAGACGGCTCCAGCAAGTCGGGTGCGGAGGATCAGACCCCAAAAGACGTCCCTAACAAGTCGGGTGCGGAGAAGCAGACTCCAAAAGACGGCTCTAACAAGTCCGGTGCAGAGGAGCAGGGCCCAATAGACGGGCCCAGCAAGTCGGGTGCGGAGGAGCAGACCTCAAAAGACAGCCCTAACAAGGTGGTTCCAGAGCAGCCTTCCTGGAAAGACCATTCCAAGCCCATCTCCAACCCTTCTGATAACAAGGAGCTCCCCAAGGCTGACACAAACCAGCTTGCTGACAAAGGGAAGCTTTCTCCTCATGCTTTCAAAACCGAATCTGGGGAGGAAACTGACCTCATTTCTCCCCCGCAGGAGGAAGTTAAGTCTTCAGAGCCTACTGAGGATGTGGAGCCCAAAGAGGCTGAAGATGATGATACAGGACCCGAGGAGGGCTCACCGCCCAAAGAAGAGAAAGAAAAGATGTCCGGTTCTGCCTCCAGTGAGAACCGTGAAGGAACACTTTCGGATTCCACGGGTAGCGAGAAGGATGACCTTTATCCGAACGGTTCTGGAAATGGCAGCGCGGAGAGCAGCCACTTCTTTGCATATCTGGTGACTGCAGCCATTCTTGTGGCTGTCCTCTATATCGCTCATCACAACAAGCGGAAGGTAAGTCGACAGCGGCCTTCCGGAGGGGAGTGGGGTTTCCAGCACCCTGGAAGCTTGGGTGTGGGTGGGTATCCCGTCACTAGATGCCCGTGAGCACTGGGGACTTTAAAACAAACTTCAGTTTTTTCCTCAGGCCCTATTAGGCCTCTTTACTCTTGTTTTGTTAATCGTGTTTTCATCCTGTCACCTGTTTACTCTGAGTGTCCTCTGCTACTGCATTAGGAGCCAAGTTAGGACATTATTAGGATCTGACCTGACTTGGAATCTCCTCCCATAACTTTGCACTTAGGTCCTTCACAGCCTCAGAGGACCTGAGTACTTGACAGTTAAAGCACGTACCTTCCATCCTATTTCCCTTCTTGAGACGATATGTCATTTCTAGCTTCCTTTCCCAACATTCTCTCTTCCATCAGCAGTGGCACAAAGAATGGTTTCAATTACTGCGTCTTCGATACCAGGACCAAAGAGCCCAGGGACTTCTGCAATTAATAATAATTAGAAGAAAGCCCAGAAATTGCACAGACACGTACACCTGTTACTTTTTCATCAGGGTTTGGTCTGTTTATTAGCAACCACTCTAATGACAAAATGATTGCATTTCATATTGAGCCCCCAACATTTAGAAGCTAGTTTCTGTAACCTGCTTAAAATTGGAGAGTCCAATTCTGGCCATAAGGCCTATGGCTATAAAGAATAAAGGGGAAGACCTTTAGTAAAAATGTGCATTCCTGGCCCGGTGCAGTGGCTCCTGCCTCTAATCCCAGCACTTTGGGAGGCCGAGGCAGGAGGATCGCTTGAGCCCAGGAGTCCAAGACCAGCCTGGCCAACATAGCAAGACCTCGTCTCTACATATAATAAAAAAATTAGCCAGATGTGGTGGTGGACGTGTGTGGTCCCAGCTACTCAGGAGGCTGAAGTGGGGGGATGGCTTGACTGTGGGAGGTCGAGGCTTCAGTGAGCCATGATCACGCCATTGCACTCCAGCCCGGGTGACAGAGTGAGACCTTGCCTCTAAGAAAAAAAAAAAGTGTATTTCTTATTCTATGTCCAAGTGTCCATTATGCAGGGTAACCTTAGTCATGAAATGAGATTGATAAAGAATGTAGTTGATGTAGCATCGTGGGGTGAAAAAGTACATTTGTAGATAGGAAATTCTGATTATGACTTTTTTTAAAGGAATGTCCTATATCCTAGATATCTCTAGGAAGGAGTTGATAGATCTTTGACTGTGTACCTTTGAATAAATCAAACAGACTTCCTCCCACACGCTAGAGCTCAGACAGCCTTCTATTTGTTATTTCCTATTAAGCAATACAAAGGATTCTGATGTAATTAGGCTCTGTCTTTCTTAAAATGGTTATAGTTTAAACAGACCTCTGTGAGTGTACTGCTCTTTCTACAGTCAGGGTCATTAACAAATATGCTACCAGGTGACTGCCTCTGATTTCAGAGACTGAACTATGTCATTACAGAGCCACCTGTTAATCATTTTCTTTTTCCTTTCCTCAGATCATTGCTTTTGTCCTGGAAGGAAAAAGATCTAAAGTCACCCGGCGGCCAAAGGCCAGTGACTACCAACGTTTGGACCAGAAGGTAAGGAAGGAGGAGCCAGGTCCATGGGAGGGATAGGAGGGATAGGCAACGTCAGATGGACCCAGTAGTGGGCTTGCATTTGCCATGAAGCAGCAGTGGCTGATTCTGGGGATGCGGTTGCTGTTGCTGTTGCATTCGCCCTTTTTAGACAACAAACTAGAAACATCTAGATACACATATCTGTGACGTTAGAGCTAGCAGAGACCTTGGAATACTCTACAGCAGCTACCTCCCTTCACAGATGAGGAAATAGGCCCATGCAGAAACACTCTTTTTTTTTTTTTTCCGCTAAGTTTCTACTGCAAGTTAGTGGCAAACTCAGGACCTGATAGCAACTCCCTCGTCTCCCAGTCCTGAGCTTTCTGCATTCTGCCAGCGCTCCATAAACTTTAATAGGCATTTGAATCACCTTGGGGAATTTTGATAAAAAGCATTATCTGATTCATTAGATGTGGGGTGGAGCCTATATTTCTACATTCTTTTTTTTTTTTTTGGAGATGGAGTTTTGCTCTTGTTGCCCAGGCTGGAGTACAATGGTGCAATCTCGGCTCACTACAACCTCTGCTGCCTGGGTTCAAGCGATTCTTCTGCCTCAGCCTCCCGAGTAGCTAGGATTACAGGCGCCACCACCACGTCCAGCTAATTTTGTATTTTTAGTAGAGATGGGTTTCTCCATGTTGGTCAGGCTGGTCTCGAACTCCCAACCTCAGGTGATCCGCCCGCCTCGACCTCCCAAAGTGCTGAGATTACAGGCATAAGCCACCGTGCCTGGCCTGTGTCTACATTCTTAGGAAGTTCCCAGGTGAAACCAAATGCCACTGGATCCACACTTTGTGTGGTAAAGTGCTAGACTATGCTCCCTGGAAACACGAGCCTGGAAGCACATAGGCCTCCAACTCCCCACATCAGCCTGGCTTAAGCACCGTAGGCTGGAGTTCCTGAGTACAGCCAATCCATTCCTCTGTCAGACAGATAAGCCCTCCTTCCACCCCATGGCAGCAGAGCTAAGCAAGGGTCTCTCTAAAGACAACCTGTCTAAGCAGGAAGACTGTACTCTCACTGCGTTGCTACCAGCATGCACCCTTCCTTCTGCTTTCAGCATAGCAACAGCCAGGACATTGGCAAAGAACCATTGGTGGCCCAACTATGAATTGTTCCCAGACTTCCTGCAGGGAACACGATTCTCTTGCACAACTCAATATTAGCTACAGAACGAGCCACTGAGCTCAGAATATCTTTGCTAACTAGTCCAGTAGGCTAGCTTTACAATTTAGCTCTGGACTACTGCCTTTTCAGATAATTGACTTTAAGGGTTTTCCCCCTTTTATGATTTTTGTTTGTTTGTTTTTGAGACGGAGTCTTGCTGTGTCGTCCAGGCTGGAGTGCAGTGGCACAATCTTGGCTCACTGCAACCTCCACCACCCGGGTTCAAGCAGTTCTCCCTCTTCAGCCTCCCGAGTAGGTGGGATTACAGGCGCCCACCACCACGCCCAGCTAATTTTTAGATTTTTAGTAGAGATGGGGTTTCACCCTTTTGGCCAGGCTGGTCTTGAACTGCTGACCTCAAATGATCCACCCACCTCAGCCTCCCAGAGTGCTGGGATTACAGGCGTGAGCCACCACACATGGCTTATGATTTTTAAAAAAATACACATGTGGCTGGGCATAGTGGTTCACGCCTGTAATCCCAACAGTTTGGGAGGCAGATCACCTGAGGTCAGGAGTTCTAGATCAGTCTGGCCAACATGGTGAAATACCATCTCTACTAAAAATACAAAAATTAGCTGGGCATGGTAATCCCAGCTACTACTGAGGAAGCCGAGGTGGGAGAATCGCTTGAACTTCGGAGGCAGAGGTTGCAGTGAGCCAAGATCATGCCACTGCACTCCAGCCTGGGCAACAGAGCAAGACTCCGTCTCAAAAAAGAAGAAAACCACCACCAACAAAAAACACATGTAAATAATTCACAACAGTACAGAACAGTATGAAGCAGAAGCCAGGATTCCTCTCTCTCCATCAAGTGTATATCTTTCTAGTGTTAGGTTTCATTTCAAACTTTAAAAATCATTTTGTGTGCTATTTTAATTAATTGCTGTTTCTGTGGTGGTGGGTCAGTATGTCTTAATTCTGAATGTTTTCCCTGCACCTCCTAAAAGATCTTTTTTCCCCCAAGTCCTAACAGAATGGTATATTCCTCTGGAAAAAGATGAACGTCACCAATGGATTGTGCTGCTCTCGTTTCAGCTTTGATTTTTTTGTCCTTGAGAACCTTGTCCTCCCTGCTGATTTGTTTCTAAATCAAAAGAAATGAAGAAAAAAGTACTGTGACCTGAGAGACACCCTCCTCTAGAATTTAGTGGCGGGTCTGGGCTGGCAGAGGTAGGGGGCTGCTTTGGGCTTTGCACCTGCACTTTGGTGACATTGTTCTTCTGTGTTCCCTTTATTTATGCTGGTGGCTTCCATCCGTTCCTCCTCTGAGGGTGAGTGGAGAGGTATATGGAAACACGGCTGTGACCAAAGGGAGATCCCAGCCTGGGCAGGCTGCGCTGCTGACCACCCTCCCTGGGGCCCGGGCTCTGTAGGAAAGTTGGTCCTTGACTGTGGCATTGCACTCTGCACTGTTTCTCTCTGCAGACCTAGGGGAAAACTGCAGGTGGAAGTGCTTTTCTACTAAGGCCTCTTACTTTGGGGGGGATGTGCCCTACAGAAGACATAGAAGATGGGGAAATGCCAATGGGCAAAGAGCTACTTTGAATACATAATTCTCTTCAAAGACTTCAGCAGCAAACCAAAACAGCAGGTTAAAAAAAAAGATGCTTTTTTGGGTGCAAGTCTAACCTGTCTAGCATGAGATCTTCTTGATTTTCTGATTATTTTATGTAGCTTGAGACAAAGTGAATCAACTTCCACTTAGTTGTACCGAGCATAAAACAGAACTTGGGCTTCCTGGCAGTGAGGCCACTGTCCCATCACAGATTTTTAAAATAAATATGATTTGAAGTAGTGTGATCTTTCACACAATCATACTCAGTAGGAACTTTTTGAAATAGGGCAAGTTTATGTTTCATGCGAGAAAACATGAAGGAGGGTTTTGGTTTTGGTCTGCAGTTTTTCCAAAGGGCTTTTATGAGATACATTTCCCACAAAGTCCATTTTGCCTTTGTTGCCTAAAACAGACAAAATAGACTTAGATTTATTAATAGAAACTATACTCTCTGCCAATTTTACCTCAGTGTATTTAATGGTCCTTTAATCTGATATAAGATGCCAAGGGTATTTGATAAAAATTCTTCTTCCATGCCATGTCAGGAGTTAATACAAATGAAGAAATTCCGTGGGTTCCCCTGGGATAAGTGAGGGTAGTGTCTTGGACAACACTATTGTTTGAAGGTTTATCTCTTCTAATCATGCTCTACCGCATTGTAGAGAGCCTAAAGAGAGTTGTTTCTGAGCTGATCTCAGGGAAATACAAATAACTTGGGAGATGAGGGAAATAAGATGAATTCTGTGCTGTCAAGGCAGTAAGTCTGAAGAAAGGACCATGCTTCTTATATTATCTTCCACCTTGCTTAAAACAGCCCATAGCTTTGAGTTGACATTTTCATTCTTGGCGGATAGCCTACTTTATGAAGGTAAGGAATGAACTCCTACCCTTCTTGGGTCATTCTCTGTACTGATGCGTTAGTCTTATAATACTTTGCACCAACCTGAGGAATCTTCTAGGCTTCTCTAGCATCCCCTAAGACTGTGGCTATTTCACGTCTCTCTCCCTGCCTGCCTTCCTTTTCCCTTCCTTTCCCCTCCTCATGTTTTCTGGTTGTGCCCATCTGTACCAGCTCCTTTCCATCCACCTTCGTATGCACCCAGATTTTTCTGTTCCCATCTGTCCTATTTGTTATTCATCCCGCTGCTCAACTTCTCCAGTATGTTGCTTCCCTTAAGTTGCCATTCATTCTCTTCATGACTTTACTAACTCACTTCGGTCTCTGTCTGTCAACTAAACTTTTCTAAAGGTTACCAGTTATCCAATCACCAAATCCATGGCTTTTTCTCAAAGCTTAGTCTTGTCCTTGACAGAACTGGACACTATTGACCATCCAAATGGAAATTCCCCTTTCTTGGTGTCTCTGACAAATGGTCCTTTGCCTTATCTTGTGCTGGTGGTGAAGAGGCCCTCAAAGCCAGGCCTCTCTATTCCTTTGACTGTCTCCTCAGCCATTAACCCATTCTTCATCCTCGGAGTGAGTGATTCCCAAGTCTTTGTCTTGGCTTAATCCCTAAAGAACCCAGTTCTGCTGGTATCGAATAGTTCAGCTTGGTTGTCATTGAAAGGAATTTCTCTCTTCTGTCCATCAGCCTGTCCCTCCCAACTGTCTAGGACAGTCTTCGGTCACCTAAATTCCTAACTGCAGACTTTTGCCCTTTTTCTCTCTCATCACCAAAGTCCCATCCATTTTTTTTTAATAAAAGATCCTCAGCTACAGTCTTTCCATTTTCCTTGCTTCTCTTATTGCACACCCCCAGCCCATTTTGCTTCTCTCTTGGATTTTGTTTTTTCAGATCCACATTTATTGGGTTTCCTGTCCAGCTTCTTGGAAAGGAGCTCAATCTTGGAAAGACTGATCTTTCCAAAATATTTTCCCTGGTCTGAAGCTTTGGTCTGAACTTCTCAAGGCTTAGAGAATCCAGTTACAGACCTTTTGGGGTTCAGGATGCTATAGATTGACACCCTCCTGCCTGTTTTTCTCTGCATCCCAACCTGGCCAAGGCCCCTCCTGTGGGGTGCCCATCTGTGCCTTTATTCCGGCTGTGCCCTCGACTTTCCAGCTTCCCATGTTTCTTTGGTTAGGTTTCTCTCCCTTCCTTCTTTCTCCTTCCCCAATCCGCCTGTTTCGTCAGGGCCCAGTTTGTTTCCTCATACACCTTCCTCACTACCCCACCCCACATGGTTGACTCTTTCCCTCAGCTCCACCAGCTCTTCATCATGCCACTCATTTCAGAACTTGAGCAAAACAGGGCAGTCAGGATCTGATGTCTTTCTGGTCTCCCTAAGAAAACTAAGCTCTTGAGGGACAGCCCTTGGCAATGCTTTCCTATCTGCTGAGCATGGTGACCTTCCTTAGGACTTCCAGAGTTCAGTTCCTTCTGGCAGAGAGGTTTTCTTTCTCCATGCCATATGGATGTGACTCAAATGAGGGGTCCCACAGCTTTTCCTGGCTACCACTTGCTGTGACCTTATACATGTTGGGGTTTGCTCTTAAAGAGGAGAGCAGGAAGAAAGGTTGGTTTCAGAAACCAAGAGGGTCGGCAGTGGACGCGTACATTTTGTCACGGAGTCCACAGAGCTGAGCTTTTGAGCAGACTCTGAGAAGTATCATTGCTTGTGTTGAAAGAATACAACAGGATTTAAGTTTCTCTTTAAAAATTGCACTGAAGAAAGGCCGGGCGCGGTGGCTCCCCCTGTAATCCCAGCGCTTTGGGAGGCCGAGGCGGGGGGATCACGAGGTCAAGAGATCGAGACCATCCTGGCCAACATGGTGAAACCCCGTCTCTAATAAAAATACAAAAATTAGCCGGGCATGGTGACGTGCACCTGTAGTCCCAGCTACTAGATAGGCTGAGGCAGGAGAATTGCTTGAATCCGGGAGGCGGAGGTTGCAGTGAGCCGAGATCGTGCCACTGAACTCCAACCTGCCAATAGAGCGAGACTCCGTCTCAAAAAAAAAAAAAAAAAAGAAAGAAATAGCATTGAAGAAAATACCGCACATCAGAGGAAAGCTTATTTTCTGCATGGTGTCTTTTCAAAGATAGAATATTTGAAGCATGTTTTCTAGCGATTGTGTGAATGAGGGTGAGCTGGCTGAGGCATCGCTCAAGCTGGGGGGTGGTGTGTAAGAAGCACGTGGAGCCACAAGAGGCACCTCCTATAGTCAGCTAAGGGCTTCCCTTTCTGCGCCCAGCTTTTGGGTGAAGGGTGATTTCTACTAGACACATCTGTGCTTCAGTCATAGATGTTAATAGAGGAAGCAGTTTTCCTGCTGCAGATTCCTGAATAGAGTTGCTGAAAGAGTCTACTTCTGGACTCGGGAAGTTGAAGGCCAGTCTGTGTAGAAAGGCTGAGGCAACGGGGAAAGACCTGACAGCTAGTTACATACGCTCTGACATAGTACTCCCATGATGGCTTCCAGTGACACATGTGCTGATAGAATTCTAAACCTCTGGAATTTCCCTGCTGGCGACTTCTATGGCCGTTGACTGTACAGGGTAACCTGATGCCAGATGCTATGGGCGTGATGAGAACTAGAGCATTGCAGCATGGAGGAAACTGTGAGGCACCAGATCCTGTGCTTCTGCAGGCCATTTTCTGAAAACCCCTGTTAGGAAGGTTGGATTTGGCGTGACTTGCTTGAGCAAGAGTCCTGGGGAGAGATTTTGAGGTTTAATTTAACGGTATATCCAGAGCTAACAGTGACTCAACTCGTCTAGTTCTGCAAGTCAGATGTACACTTAGAGTCTCTCTGTGAAGGGTTTGGGTCTGAGCTGTATAGTATGTCAAACTGCCAGTAAGCCAGCCCCTCACCCTCTGATAGATATTCCTTTAATGCACCAGACTTCATGTTTGATAAATGATTAATGGTTGAAATTGTTTCTCTTCTTTTGTGTTTTCCCAGTTAATAGATGGTCACTGTTTCCACAATGTTTTATACTTTCAGCTTTTTGTAACTTAACTATAATTACTTAATTTTATTTTTTTAAAGCTTGTTGTGGTCTAATGAGAAGTATTTTTCAGTGCATAATGTTTTTCTGAGCTTCTGTAAATGCCATCCCAATGTGGTTTGGTTTTGTTGAACAGAAACCAAAATAAATTTCAAAATGTTAAAGCAATGGATTTAATACATTTATTTATTTATTTATTTTATTTTATTTTTGAGACAGAGTCTTGCTCTGTCACCAGGCTGGAGTGCAGTGGTATGATCTTGGCTCACTGCAACCTCCGCCTCCCAGGTTCAAGCGATTCTCCTGCCTCAGCCTCCCGAGTAGCTGGGACTACAGGTGCGTGCCACCACGCCCAGCTAATTTTTGCATTTTTAGTGGAGACGGGGTTTCACCATGTTGGCCAGGATGGTCTCAATCTCTTCTTCGTGATCCGCCCACTTTGGCCTCCCAAAGTGCTGGGATTACAGGTGTAAGCCACCACGCTCGGCCAATAAATTTATTAATATTATATTAAGATGAACTCCAATAAGACCTTTGGCATGTCAGTTTAACATAAGTGAAAGGTCCTTTTTATGCCTTTTGAGCCTTCCTTCACCTTCCATCCAACACACACATGTACCAGTAAATTGCAGATGCCATTTCTGGGCTTTGCACACTTTCTCTGGCTTTCCATGTTCTGCTCCTGACCAACTCTCTTGCCACCTGACTCCTCCCAGCCTGGCTGCCTGTGTTGCTTTCAGTAGCTGGGCCATTGCTGGGAACACTCTGTTGCCTCCCTGTGCTGTCCTCTGCTGTGCCATTGTGTGGAATGCCCTGCAGCCTGCCTCAACACAATGAAGTAATCTTACCAGTCGATGCCCTGACTCCTGACGTCACCCTTCCCTGCCCTGTGTCACCTTTCCCTGCATATTTGGAGGATAAGGCTTGATTGAGGCTCGGGTACCGAGCTCCCTGAAGGTGCCTTGATGCTGGCACATCGAGAACCAGATGCCACCCCGATGATAAGGAAGACAGACCCGGGACTTCCATATGAATTGGGTATGATCGTCTGACATGCACCCTACTAACTGATGGATCCTGCTGTTACCCCAAAGCTCCAGAACCACACTGGCCAGACACAGGCATTTCCTGTCCCCTGAAGAGCCACTGAACCCAGCACAAAAGAGATCTAGAGCTCTCCAAACCTATGGAATGGCAACCAAAACCATGCCCAGGTTTTGAGTTAAGCCTCATTAGTCTCCCTTTTCCCTTGACAGTGTAGAACTGTGCAGCGTAGCACTAAGTGAATGAGAGCAGAAGCCTCAGGACAGAACTGAACCCACCAGCTTGAGCTGACAACACTGCCAGGGGTTCTGTCCACAGATGGAATATTCGCTTTGATCACTGAGTTAGGAGGCATGGGTGAGGGATGCAGAGCGCCGCTCGTCATGAGACATCAAGCTATCCAAGTCAATATCCTATTAGTAGGGATGGCATATTATAGAAGGTGGAAAGATCTCACCTGCCCCAGCTGGAAACAGTGATTCCATTGCCCCAGATTCGGAATTGTGATTTAAACTAGGCCTCTCTTCAGGCATCAGAACCAAATTAGAGTGCTTTATACGTGCAAGGAACTAATGCAGAAAGACATTATGGGTAAGTCAAGGGAGATGCCCCAGCCATTGGGCAAATTCCTCTGACTCCTCCCTGATGGAACTAATTCTTTTTCTTCTGTGCCCGGATCCTAGAATCAAGATTCTTAAGGTCTGAGTACAAGTTCCGCTTCAGGATGGCGCTGCTGCACAGCAGGGCACCTTGCAGGGCCCCGACCAGTCCACAGGTGAAGATATCCTGGCCTAGGAGGCAAGAGCAGAGGCCCCTGAGCGTGCACCCAGGCAGGCCCAGGGGAGGGTGGGGCCTTGGTGCTCTTCCCTCCACATGAGGGCCACCCAGAGCTGGCTCCAATCAGACAGGGGCCACAGCCTGCCCAGGCAGCCCTGCTCAGGGGATGGGAGGCTGCAGGGGACAGCAGGGCCTGAGGGCAGGAACAGAGGACGTTGGGCGACAGGGGCCCAGGGTCTCAGGTCCTGACAACATGGGGCAGTGAGTATACCTGTCAGATAGAGGTTGGGGATGGGGCTCTGGGCCCTCAAGGAGGCCATCACACAAGGGTGCAGGCGGCCCAGGTCATGGTCAGCCCCGTAGCAGGCACCTCGGGGAGCAGCCAGATAGAACTGGTTGGTGAGTGGGGATCCTGCAGTCACACTCTCCACCTGAGGGCAGAAAGGGTGGGGCAGGCATGTGAGATCCTGGCTCCCCTCCCTCTTCCACTCTTTCCCATTCACTGACTCCGGGGTTGGGTGCCCTGTCCTTCCCTGGGGCTCATGTCTTGGGGCCCAATTCCCCTGTCTCAAGGAAAGGGCAGAAATAGCACCATGAGGTCCGTCACCACCCCAAATACTTTACCCCCTACCTTCCCCTCCAGCTGTGGGAACAGTTTCAGGACCACTGACATAGAGGCTTCCACAAAGAAGTTTTTGAAGGTCTCATAGTCACTGCCCTACTTTCCCTTCAGTTCCACCTGCCACTCCTCAAACCACTCGTAGGTGCTGGGTATGAGCATGATCATGGTGGACCGGCCTGGGGATCAGAGCTGATATTACTACTGCCCGGCCCCTCCCTCCACCCCCTCACCCAGGACGTGCAGCCCCCCGTGGGAATCGGTCCTCCCAGGTCGGATCCTTGGCTGATGGGAAAGCGAAGAAGAGAAGAGGGATGTGTTCCGCAGCCTCTTCCCTGGGCATGGAGATGTAGCGCTCCATCCTGCGTGTGACAAGAGTGTGGTGCGATCTCCAGGCTTTTGTCCTCAAAACCCCAGAACCACTGCAAGGACTGCTCGTCCCTAGGGACTCCCCACAGGGGTGAAGCTGAGCCACAGCCTTGGTGTGACAAACTTCCAGGTGCAAATTGGAAATTGCCTACTTCCTCCCATTCCATAACTTCTGCTCGTTCTCTGAGTCAAGCAGGGAGGCACGGGCCACACACACACGTGCACCTTACGCCTGGTCCATGTCCGTGTCATAGTAAACATAGTAGTTGGTGGACGGCAGATGCAGGTCCTCCTTGGTGCCTCGCAGGCAGATGAAAACAGAGGTCATGCCTAAGCCGGGCTGAACTGTCCCCAGCTGCTGCTTCACACCTGCAAAGGGGAGTGGTTGGTGCCTTTGTGGACCATGGCCGGAGACAGCCACTCCCTGCTCCCAGGAGAGCCTCAGGGTGACCGCTCGCTGTGTCCTGAGCCTTATCTTCAGTTGCCAGCTTTGTGCCCAGGCCACTTTTACAGCTGTTTCAACTTGATGTTGGCAGGGGCCTGCTCTTCTGTGTCCTCCTGCCTGGGAAGGACACTGCCCCAGGTTCCTATTCTTCCACCTCCCCTGCCTCTGCTCCAAGCCCCTTCAGAGGCAGGTAAAGCCCAGCCCTGGTCCTCAGCCCCCATGAGCTGGCTCAGCACCTGCAGGAAGGTCAAGCTTACTGCCTCCCATCTTCCCCTTCGTGTCTTGAAGTGTGGAGCACATGACTGGGTTCCCCCCATGAAGACCACACATGAACAGCAGCTCATTACCAGCCTGATTTCAGGATGAACTTTTATGCAGTCACGGAGTGAGTGAACATGCATGATTCTTAGTGTGACATCAGAACACAAGGCCTCCAGAGGGATGCCAATGCATGTGAGCAAAGGCAGGCAGCCTGACTGGTACTTGGCATCTCAGGACTCAGCTGGAGGGAGGAGGGAAGAACTACACTATGGCAGAGGCCACAGCCACTGTGGGGCACCTGATGTTCCCCAGACCTAAACAGCTGGGCTTCCCCACTCCTCAGCAGATGACCTGAGACCGGTGTTCCGGAAACTGCCCCCACAGATTCTTCTGCTGTCTTCCCATTCCCGTGCCAGAGGGATGCCGGGTCCCTGGCTCCTCTGCTTTTTCCATTTTTTAAAAAATTTATTTATTTTTAGATGGAGTCTTGCTCCGTCGCCCAGGCTGGCATGCAGTTGCGCGATCTCTGTTCACTGCAACCGCCTCCCGTGCTCAAGCGATTCTCCTGCCTCAGCCTCCCAAGTAGCTGGGATTACAGGCATGTACCACCACACCCACTAATGTTTGTATTTTCGGTAGAGATGGGGTTTCACCACGTTGGCCAGGCTATTTTCAAACTCCTGACCTCAAGTGATCTGCCTGCCTCGTCCTCCCAAAGTGCTGGGATTGAAGGCGTGAGTCACCGTGCCCGGCCTGCTTCGTTCATGTAACTAAATATTTGTGAGGCCCTCAGGTTGTGTTCAGGAGGAAGAGACACAGGAACACAGATGGAGGGCAAGAGGGACAGATGGCTCTAGCTGGGCTGCCTGGGTGAGATGCTGGGGCCTGGCCAGGACAGTGTCAGTTCCCAGAGGTCCTGGGACAGGGGAGAAGGGAGGTCAGGGTCACAGAGAGAGAGGCAGGAAGTAGCAAAGGCAGAGTCTGCCTGTGCACCAAGCCCGACCCCCCTGCTCTGCCCCTGGGCCGTCTCTACCTCACCCCCTCAGCTCCCCCGGTCTGAGAGAGGGGAGGCCGAGCAGGCTGCAGACCCAGCCACATGGGGCAGGGGAAGGAGAGGCTGGCATTGGTGGAGCCACCCACTGCACTGCCAGTCATACAAAGAAGTCTATCACACAGAATTATGTGCAGTATTTTTTTTTTTTGAGACAGAGTTTTGATCTTGTCTCTCAGGCTGGGTTGCAATGGCACAATCTCGGCTCACTGCAACCTCCACCTCCTGGCTTCAAGCGATTCTCTGGCCTCAGCCTCCCGAGTAGCTGGGACTACAGGCGGCCGCCACCATGCCCGGGTAAGTTTTGTATTTTTAGTAGAGAGGTTTCACCATGTTGGCCAGGCTGGTCTCGAACTCCTGACCTCAGGTGATCTGCCCGTCTCGGCCTCCCAATGTGTTGGGATTACAGGCGTGAACCACCGCGCCTGGCCTATAGTACTTTTTAATGAACGAAATGACTATGTTACTGGTTTATGTATTTGCTATATTTTTATTGTTTTAAACAAAAAAGTTTAAGAAGTAAAAAAAAAAATGTTTTTGTTTTTGTTTTCTTTGAGAGGGAGTCTCGCATTGCTGCCCAGGCTGGAGTACAGTGGCATGATCTCAGCTCACTGCAACCTCCGCCTCCCGGGTTCAAGAGATTCTCCTGCCTCAACCTCCCTAGTAGCTGGGATTACAGGCGCCCGCCACCGTGTCCGGCTAATTTTTATATTTTTAGTAGAGTTGGGGTTTTGAGGTCATGGTCTCAAACTCTTGATCTCAAGTGATCTGCCCACCTTGGCCTCCCAAAATGCTGAGATTAGCAGGCATAAGCTACTGCACCCAGCCCCAAAAAAGACTTTAATTAGAAAAAAGCTCATAGAATAAGGATATAAAGAAAATATCTTTGTGCAGCTGTACAGTGTATTTGCGTTTTAAGCTAAGTGTTATTACAAGAGTCAAAAAGTGTTTAAGTTGATAAAGTAAAAAAGTTAAACTAAGGTTAATTTATTCTTGAAGAAAGAAGAATATTTCTTTATAAACCTAGTGTTGCCTAAGTGTACAGCGTCATGGTTACTCACCACTCACTGACGCACCCAGAGCAGCTGCCAGTCCTGCAAGCTCCATGCCTGGGAAATGCCCTATACAGCTATGCCATCTTTTATCTTGTTTTTTGTTTTTTTTTTCCCCAAGACAGAATTTTGATCTTGTTGCCCAGGCTGGAGTGCAACGGTGCGATCTCGGCTCACCGCAACCTCTGCCTCCTGGGTTCAAGCAATTCTCCTGCCTCAGCCACCTGAGTAGCTGGGATTACAGGCGCCCACCACCACGCCCAGTTACTTTTTGTATTTTTAGTAGAGACGGGGTTTCATCATGTTGGCCAGGCTGGTCGCTAACTCCTGACCTCAGGTGATCCACCCTGCTCGGCCTCCCAAAGTGCTGGGATTACAGGCTTGAGCCACTGCACCCGGCCCATCTTTTATCTTTTACACCAGATTTTACTGCACCTTTTCTATGTTTTGTTTCTGTTTTTTTTGAGAAAGAGTCTCACTCTGTCGCCCAGGGTGGAGTGCAGTGGTGCGCTTTCGGCTTACTGCAAACTCTGCCTCCCGGGTTCAAGTGATTCTTGTGCCTCAGCCTCCTAAGTAGCTGGGATTACAGGCATGTGCCACACACCTGGCTAATTTTTGTATTTTTAGTAGAGATGGGGTTTCAACATGTTGGCCAGGTTGGTCTCGAACTCCTGACCTCAAGTGATCCACCTGCCTGACCTCAAGTGATCCACCTGCCTCGGCCTCCCAAAGTGCTGGGATTACAGGCGTGAGCCACCACGCCCAGCCACCTTTTCTATGTTTAGATACATAAACACTCACCACTGTGTCACAGTCACCTACAGTATTCAGTACAGTAGCATATGCTGTACAGGCTTGTAGCCTAGGAGCAATAGGCTATACCATATAGCCTAGGTGTGTACACCATCTAGGTTTTTCTAACTACACTCTATGATGTTCACACAATAAAATTGCCCAACGACGCATTTGTGAGAACGTTGTCTCAGTTGCTAAGCGATGCATGACTGTATATGAAATGTCTAGAATAGACAAGTTTGGAGACAGAAAGTAGATTAGTGGTTGCCTAGGGCTGGGGGAGATGGGCAAAATGTGGAGTGATTTTCAAAGGATATGGGGCTTCCTTTGGGACTGACAAAAACTTTCTAAAATTGACTGGTGATAGGTGCACAACTCTGAACATACAGCCAATGAATTGTCTACTTTTTTTTCTTTTCTGAGATGAAGTTTTGCTCTGTTGCCCAGGCTGGAGTGCAATGGCGCTGTCTCGGCTCACTGCAACCTCCACCTCCCGGGTTTAAGCGATTCTCCTGTCTCAGCCTCCCAAGTAGCTGGGATTACAGGTGCGCACCATCATGCCTGGCTAATTTTTGTATTTTTAGTAGAGACGGGGTTTCGCCATGTTGGCCAGGCTGGTCTCGAACTCCTGACCTCAGGTGATCCACCCGCCTCGGCCTCCCAAAGTGCTAGGATTACAGGTGTGAGCCATCGCACCCAGCCTGAATTGTATACCTTTTTTGTTTGAGGCAGAGTCTTACTCTGTTGAGAAGGCTGGAATGCAGTGGCACAATCATAACTCACTGCAGTCTTGAGCTCCTGAGCTCAAGCAATCCTCCTGCCTCAGCCTCCTGAGAAGCTGGGACTACAGGCTTGTGTGCCACCATCCCCAGCTAGTTGCTTTTTTTTTTTTTTTTAAAGAGATCAGGTCTTGCTATGTTGCCCAGGCTAGTCCTGAACTCCTGGCCTCAAGTCATCTTCCTGCCTCAGCCTCTCAAAGCATTGGGATTATAGGCAAGAGCGGCTCTGCCCAGCTGAACTGTATACTTTAAATGGGTGAAGTGTAACTTTAAATGGCTGAAGTATATCTCCATAAAGCTGTTACAAAAAATTAATTGTGGTGCTAGATACTATGGAAAGTATCCAAAAGATGCTTCCTCACATCTTGGCAATTACGAGTCAAATGGGTGATAGAAGCATAAGCTGAATGTCATTCCAGGCGGCAAATTCATTTAAATCAGCTGTGAAAATGATTACCCCCTTTGCAGCTCAGTCATGGACACTGACTGGCCCATGCACATTTGAGACAGGAAGCTGGGTTCAGGTTTTCTAAGGGTGTCAGGCATGCCTAACATTCCCCTGTGGCAAGTGGCAATCTTCCTTTGCATATCTGCGAAAGTCTAACACAGGGTTTGGGAGTGAAACAAACAGGTGGTTTGATTCAACAAAAGCACTAAAGAAACACTCAGAAAAGGTCTTGCAACTGCAATTTTATTTTCTTTTGTGAAAATAAACAACTGGGAGTTTAAATTGC
Source organism: Homo sapiens (assembly GCF_000001405.40). Lineage (NCBI taxonomy): Eukaryota > Metazoa > Chordata > Mammalia > Primates > Hominidae > Homo > Homo sapiens. The sequence goes on along the minus strand of NW_025791763.1, from coordinate 236,509 downwards.
TCCAAAAACCATAAAAACAAAAAGAAATACACACAGAAGAAGCATGTGAGGTGATGGGGAAGGGAACAGGGTCTCTAGAACTTTGGCAGATTGTGCTGGCACGGACCCAGGTGACAGGAGCCAGACCATGGGGCCGGTCCCGCCTGCCACTCTGGGATTGTGAAGGGATGATCGCCACTGGCAAGGACGGGGAGGAACACAGACTTCTTCGCTGAGGAAGTGGCAGGCACCTTGAGTCCCTTTAAATGCGGGGGTTGGGAGGAAACCATTTCAGAGGACCGCTTTCTCCACTGAAAGCTGGGGCTGGCGAGTTCGGGCCCACTGAGGGAGGGGACGCTGGTGGCAGCAAATCAGGCCAAGATGTCTTCTCACATGGTGATGGCCTCACACTGGGCAGAGGACAGAGGACGAAGAAGAACCCACGGTATTGAGCAGACGATGAAAACTTGGGCTGGGTAACAGGAAATGTCACAATGGCAGAGCTGCAGATGGAGTCGGGGAAGCTGGGGCAGGCGGCAGGGGCGAGAAGAGACAGGAGACAGAAAGTGCAAGAGAGGTAAGAGAGAGAAGTGCCCTCTGCCCAGGTCCATCCACCACAGCACCTACAGGACGAATAGCACGCTACTTTTCAGTTCTCTTTCTTATAAAGATTTTTTTTTGTTGTTTTGTTTTGTTTTTTAAAAAAGCCTTAAGATCAGCTACTGGTTACATCTACAAACTGTAAAGTGCTGTTGTTACCAGCCACTTTACAGAACAGTCCAGAGTGGTCAAATATTGACCAATAAAGTCTCCTTTTTCTTTTTCTTCTGAATCATTACTACTCAATGAGTCATGTGACAGCCTGCAGGGGTCGGGGGGAGCTTAGTGGGCAGACTTGGTGACCAGGGAAAGAGGCTGGGCCTGTAGCACCGGGAGGGCCTGGTGGGCATGGAGCGTGGCGGGGAAGGACGGGGGAGAGGCCAGCAGAGCTGTGGGCATGGACCCAAGGGGGAGGGGCCGGGACAGGAGGGGAGGCTGGCTGCCCATCTGCCCAGAGGAGGAGGCTGCAGCCTTAGCCGACAGGAAGGCGGCAGAGTGGAGAGCCAGCTGGGCCCGGGTTTCTGGTTTGGTGGTGAGGGAGAGGGGCTGGGCTTGCTCCGAATGGGTGGCAGCAGGGGCAGCTGGTGAGGCCAAAGCTGCAGAGGGAGTGGCCGGGGAGTCCAGCATGCTCCCGTGGGAGGAGGCAGGGCTGTCACAGGGCTTCTCGGGGGGCAGGTACTGAACACATGGCTTCTTGCTCTTGGAGGCCAGGGCACCTAGGGGGAAAATACAAGAAAGAGTGAGCAGCTATAGCTCTGTGAGAGGAGGAGGCTGAGGAACAGCCCTGGCGATACATGTGCTTTGGAGACACAGGGATGATTTTGGCGAGGACCTGACATTACTTCCAAGGCTTTCAAGACTAGGAAACTGCATTCACAAATACCCAGAGCACAGAGAAGAGGCAACGCCCAAACTGATGAAGATCCACCCAGCATCAGATCGGAGAGAAGACGGCTCAGTGTCTCACAGGACCACCCTCCTTTCCTAAAGCTGGTAACTTTTGGGATGAATCTCCAGTTTGCTTTGAAATCTTTGGTTTATGGTATTAATACAGTCAGAGAGAGTGCATGCCTGCTGAACAGCGTGCCAGACAGCGGGTTCTGTAGCAGGTACGGGTTCCACTCATGTGCGCTCCTATGTATAATGGAAGGAAGGAAGGAAGGGAGGAGGGGAGGCAAGGAAATAGGGAGGGAGGGAAGGAGAAAGGGAGGGCGGAAGGAGAAAGCGAGGGAAGAAGAAAGGGAGGGGGGGAAGGGAGGGAAGGAGGGGGAGAGGGAGGGAAAGAGAGGGAGGGAAAGAGAAAGGGAGGGAGAAAAGGAGGGAGGGAAGGGGAAAGGGAGGGAAGGAGAATGGGAGGGAAGGTGAAAGGGAGGGAGGAAGAAAGGGAGGGAGGGAGGAATGAAGAAGAGAGATTGAAAGCACTTTACATCGTGCAAGCAGCGATACACTTGTCCTGGAGTGAGCATGAGATGGGGGGCGTGACCTAAATATTAATAATAATCGTCACAGTGTGAGCATCTTTCTGTGCTAGGCATGATTCTGGTAATATAGAGATTTTATACATGGTTTTGACACAAAGTGCCTCCTAAACCCAAGCAAACTAATTTTTTCTGGTGTTCAACCAAAGAAACATCCAAGGAAACCCGGGCTCCCCTGGATCCACTGACAGGTGGGATGTCAGGGGCTCATGTGCTGCCTTCCTAAGGGTATTTCAAAGACAATTTCAACCTCATTCCATTAACCCTCAGGTAGGATGATTCACTTTTCAATGGAATTAGATTGTCTAGGCTTTGAAGTGACAAAGTCCTGGGATCAAATCCTACCACCACCACTGAAGCAGAGTGCCTGGGAAAATGCCTTCACATCTCAGAGCCTCTTAAGTGGCCACCTCGAGAAAGGGGTAATAATACCCGCCCGCGAATACCGAGGCAGAAGCCCTGACCCATCAGGGAGCTAGAGACAGCATGGGCAGGTGTGGCTGTGACAAAAGGAAAAGCAGGAGAAGAGGCCAGTGCCCCGAGACGCACCCTCTGCCTCCTGGACTTGCTGCTGTGACTGTGTCTGGGACAGCTGCTTTTCTCTCTTCCTCTTCTTTTTCTTACCCTGGAAAATACAGCCAAAGGAAGAGGTAAGCTGGGAGAGAAGAATGCTGGCTTCTCAGGGGCTCCCAGATCAGAGAGAAGACAGGACGTTGCCCTTTACTGCTCTCGATCCCTCAGGGAGAGTGTGGAGAGATAATTCAGATCACAGCCGTGGGAGCCCGTGAGGAGGCAGAGGGAGCCCTTCCTCCCCTACAAACGCGTTTCCCCTCCAGGTCGGGTGTCCAGGCCTTCTTGGAAGGCCTCCTCCCTCCACTGCCCTTCAGACTCTGTTTTTCTGTTTCTCTCCCTAGAACAGTGCTTCTAGATCTTTTCTGAGGGGTCCCAGGTCCCTTTGAAAGTTTGATGCAACTGTGGGTCCTCTTACCAGAAAAAAAGCAAAGAAGAACACGCATGCGAAAATTGGCTTGGTTTCCGGGAGCTTAGAGACACGCCCCCTGAGGCTCACACACTGGTCTTTGAGCCCTGGGTTAGGAGTGGCTGGAGACAACTCTTCCTACCACAGCTAACCCCGTGCCCTGTGTTATGAAATCGAGGGCAGAGTCCAGTTCAAAGGGAAATGCATCAACTGAAGTCCGTCCTCAGGACTTGTTGACCTCCTGAGAATTAAAACACCTTCCTTATTTCTAGAGAAGTATGGGCTTCTCCCTGATCTTAAGAGTCCTCTATAAATGCAGTCGCTGGCCGGGCGCGGTGGCTCACGCCTGTAATCCCAGCGCTTTGGGAGGCCGAGGTGGGCGGATCACGAGGTCAGGAGCTCGAGACCATCCTGGTTAACACAGTGAAACCCCGTCTCTACTAAAAATACAAAAAATTAGCCGGGTGTGGTGGCAGGTGCCTGTAGTCCCAGCTACTCGGGAGGCTGAGACAGGAGAATGGTGTGAACCGGGGAGGCGGAGCTTGCAGTGAGCCGAGATCGCGCCACTGCATGCACTCCAGCCTGGGTGACAGGGTGAGCCTCTGTCTCAAAAAATAAAAGAAAATAAAATAAATAAAAATAAATGCAGTTGCTTTCCTTCACCCTTCCTCCTCTTGCAGAGGCTGTTCCTGGGGTCTGAGCGTCCTCTGCCCAGAGTGTGCACTTACATAGTTGTCCCGGGCTGACCAGGTTGGGTAGAGCTGCGAGTGAAGCTGCCGCTCCTTCCGGGCCAGCTCGTAGTACTTGGCCTGTTCTTCTCGAGACAGGTTGTGCCACTGGGGGAGAGAGGGTCAGAGACCACACGGAGCCATCAATGCAGGGACGCTGCCTCCCTGGCCTGGAGGGAGAGGGCAGGTCTTACCTTTCTTCCAAGGATCTGGTTAATGGCTGCACTTTCCTTCAGGGTGCACTCAGCCACCACCTTGGCCCTCATCTCCTTCATATACAACATGAAGGCATTCAGAGGCTTCTTCACGTGGGGCTTCTTTTCCTCCTCCTTTTTCACGGTGACTGGTGATTTCCTGGGAAGGCACGTGGTTGTAGGTTAGCATGTCAGGTGTCACACAACTCATCAATCCCCACCTGTCACTGAAACACCGCTGATTGTCTCTGGGGAGGGGCGCGGGCTGCCTGGATGCTAATTCAAGTGGCCCCATGGCTGCACTCAACACCTGAGTACCTTCCTCCCGTAGTTTCCCACCTTTGAACGATCTCCACGCCAGATTCTTTGAAAATCTACTCTCCAATTTCCTGACAGAGGAACAGAGCATGGTGGGGTTGCTGAGATGAGCTCTCACTGGAGCTGGCAGGTGCTGGCGGCGGTGACAGGACACAGTGTGGGGCACTCTGGGCAGAACCAAGTTGGGAGGGGGTTCTCTTGGGATCTCCAGGGAGCACTGACTTTGGCTTCCTGCCATCTTTATGGTACACGGGCAAGGTAAGGACCCTGGTGCTCATCTCAGCTCGGCCACCAGCCCACCACAAGTCCTTAAGAAAACACTGTCTCCTTTCTGGGCCTCACCTTTTCATATATCTTACGGTGGGGTGTTAAAAGCTTTCTCAGGTTCTCTTTCAGCCTCTGAGACCTGACAGTAAAACTTTCCTTAATAAGAGAGAAGATGCACCATGTCCCTGAAAGGACAGGGACCCAGAAGGTCAGAGGGAGTAAGTCCCGAGGAAGAGGGAGGGCCTGGCTGGGGAGGCTGTGATGCCTGCTGAGTGACACCAAGAGAGAAGAGTACATGACATTTGCTGCTCAGAGTGTGGCCACCCCTCCCCACAGCCTGCACCCTCCCACCTGAATCCAGGCTGCCGCTTACTTACACGCTCACTGCAGGGCTCAGGCTGGGGGGTGCCGGTTCCTGCTTGACGATGGGGGAGACGATGGCAGGGTGGGGGATCCCTGAGGTGGGCAGGCCAGGGTGGGCAGGAGCCACCATGTGAGGAGAGAACCGACTGGAGACCAGGCTGTGCACCGGATAGAAACAAATGGCAACAGAGGGGTTCAGGCTGGATACCTGCCACCCAGCAGAGGACACGGTGGCTCTCTGCCTTAAGGGCACAGGCATGTCCGTGGGGCAGAGTCTCAGGACTAGAAGGCTATTTGTCGTCTTCTAGAAAACCAGGTTTGGGAGATGCTTAATGGCTCTTCCTTCTCCCCACCAACACCCAGGCTGCCCATCTGGTGCTGGAAGCAGGTGGGATGAAACACACAAAAGGGGAGGAGGGTCAGAGGCCCGGGCATACTGGGGAAAAGAAGGGCTTAGGCTGTGGGCAGCTTTCCTCTGTCCTCAGAGGTTCCACTGTCAGGTAGAGCTGGTCCCTGAGACAGAAATCCCCTTTCACCGTCTCCTCTCCTGACATCATTTCAGGAAAAATTCATCTTCTCCCAGTCCCTAGCTTCAGTGTGATATACAGACAGTCCGTGACTTAGGATATTTTGACTTTACGATGGTGCAAAAACGATATTAATTCAGTACTCTCCTTGACCTAGATGGGGTTATGTCTGGATAAAACCATCATATGTTGCAAATATTCTAAGGGGAAAGTTGTGTTTTCAATGTACGACGGGTTTATCAGGACGCGGCTCCATCCTAAGTCGGGGAGCATCTGTCCTCAAAATGCTTCAGTGCCAGAGCCCATGGCAGGAGGCAGAGTGCTAGGGCTTTGCAATCCTTCTGTTGGAGAGATGGGGACAGTGATCCTGTGGTCTCCATTCTGACCTGGGGGTGGGGAGCGCGGGACGTGAGAAGATGCTTGATCAAAGAGAGGTGGGGGGAGGGTGAGCCCTGTGCCTGCTCATTAACTGGCAAGAAAAAGCTGTTTCGTGGTCAGAAATGGCGTGGTTGCTAAGACAAACATGCGGACAGCCCCAGCCCCGGGACTCACCTGGACATCGAGGCGTTCATGGCGAGGGCGGGGTAAGGGTGCCGGAAGCCACCGGGAGGAAGGGAGTACATGGGCTGGCCTTGCCTGTGAGGGGGAGGAAATCTGGTCAGCATATTGGGAAAGCTCAGGGCAGAGGAAGAGAGGCACTTGGGAAGAAGGGATGAGAAATATGGGAAGGAAGCGGGAAGGTAATGCTGGGAGCACGCTGCCTGGGCGGGGGCAGGGAGGCCTAGTCCTGGGCTTGCCTCTGAGGGGGCTCCACTGTGCAGGGCGCGCAGGGCACAGAGGCAGAGCTCAGCGCAAGGAGGGAGCAGGGGGAAGAGAGGCTGTGGGTTCCTTACTGTGGGACGAGCCAGCCGAGGGGGTGGGGGATTTGTCCGACAGCTCCGGGAGAGAGTGGGTAATACGGTGACAGCTCGGATGGGTGAGGGGGCCGGGGGATTCCTGCTTCCAAAGAGAGATATGTCAGACTGTTCCCTCGCCCTGCCAGAGCACCTTAACGAACATCAAATGGGAGCATCCTGCCCTATGTCCCTGGTGCTCTGGAGCCTAGCAGGTGCTTGTGTCATTGTCCTTGCCCTCTGTCAACTCCCTAGCAGCTCTCACCAGTCAGTCAAGGACATATTCAGGGGAGGCAGGACTAATGCACCCCCTCTCTAGCTGCACGGATTCTATCTCTGTGAAGAGTATCTTCCAGCTGGCTGTGATACAGAAGCCAGCGTCCTGGAAGAGAGGGACAGGACCCACAAGACCAATGACAAGAGTCACTGGTGAACCAAGTCTCTAGAAAGCCCGCCTCATTCATGGAGAAATAAACTTTGGATTCCTCCTCCACATGTGTCTTCCTCATTATCTGTAACTTGTAGTGACTGTTATTTCTCCAAAGAGGGGCTCCAAAAATGCTTTGCCTTCCCCTGGCAACTCTGTGTGAATGCTATAAAGACAGTGGCTCCCTGGAATGGACAGGTCTGGTGGGCAAGTTAAAAAAAAAAAAAAGAAAAAAAAGCCAGTTCAGGTTGGGCATGGTGGCACACCGGTAATCCCGGCACTTAGGTGAGTTGACTGCTTGAGTCCAGGAGTTTGAGACCAGCCTGGGCAACATGGCAGAAACCCATCTCTACTAAAAATACAAAAATTAGCTGGGCAAGGGCATGGTGGCATGCGCCTGTGGTCCCAGCAACTCGGGAGGCTGAGGGAGGAGGACTGCTTGAGCCCGGGAGGTCAAGGCTGCAGTGAGCTGAGATCACACTACTGCACTCCAGCTTGGGCGACACAGCAAGACTGTCTTAAATAAATAAATAAATAAAAGCCAGTTTGGCCTCACTGCTTTACGGTTGCACTTCTGTGTCTGCTTAGACTGATGAATCTATTTAAAAATGTTCAGTTTAGGGCAAACATGTCTTGGTGTAGGGAAGCACGGCCCACAGCTGGGCTAGACTTGGGCAGAGCCACCCCACACACTGCCTATGGAGCCAGGCCCTGTGCTTTACTGCATTTAATTCCTGTGGGCCTTATCGTGACCCTATGGTGGAGAAGGTACAGGGGAGGCACAGATGAAAAAAAAAATGACAAGGCTAAAGTTAGCAGACAAGGTCCAAAGACTCCTGAGACAAAGAGCCATGATTTGAACCCAGGTCAGCCTGATTCAAGGGCTGTTATGTTCCCACAAAAGAGAAGCCCGCCTGCCCTGCAGCAGCACTGCCTGAGTGGCAGACGACTTACCTGTCTTTGGATCGATCTCTGGGGAGAGGTGGGTGGGAGGGGAGCCGGGGGAGAAGTGGTCATTGCTGTAGGTGATGAGGGGAGTCAGCGGATGCATGTGATGCGGGTGCTGAACGACAGGAACTTTATTAGACTGAAAGAGACAAAAAAGACCAGGAATGGTTGCCAAGGAGATGGAGAGTATGACCAGCTGTTATTTATGGAATCAAGTAAGTGCCAGGTATTTTCCAGGCAACATCCCATTCAGTCCTCAAAACAGTCCCTGAGAGATGACAGCAGTGGACACAGCAGAGCAGCAGGACTTGAGAAGGGATCACACCCACCCTCCATCGCTCCCCTCACGTGCACTGTGTGTGGGAAACAGTACAGGCTTCTGGGGAATGATCTGCGCTGTGTCATCTCAAACACTACAGGCTGCTGAGGGATGATCTGCGCTGTGTCATCTCATTGAATCTAAAAAGGTTTTTTTTTTGTTTTGTTTTGTTTTTTGAGATGGAGTCTTGCTCTGTCACCCAGGCTGGAGTGCAGTAGCATGATCTCGGCTCACTGCAGCCTCTGCCTCCCGGATTCCAGCAATTCTCCTGTCTCAGCCTCTGGAGTAGCTGGGATTACAGGCGTCTGCCATCACGCCTGGCTAATTTTTTTGTATTTTTAGTACAGATAGGGTTTCACCATGTGGGCCAGGCTGGTCTTGAACTCCTGACCTCAGGTGATCCACCCGCCTCGGCCTCCCAAGGTGCTGGGATTACAGGTGTGAACCACTGCGCCCGGCCCTGAAAAGGTTTAACACACATTTTTCAAATAAACTTCATAGAAACAGTTGCTCTCAGGTTCAAGTCTGGGACTGGGAACAGGGCAGGGGGAGAGTTGCCCCCATTAGACCTCATACTACCAAGTCTCATATTCAGGCTTTACAGACACAACCCTAAAGCACTTGAAACACTTCTCTCTGTAACACTTTACTCTGCTGACCTCACTACCACATTCTGTGTAAAACACCACCAAATGGAAGGAGCACCATTATTTTATAAAGCTATTGAGAAAAACGCTGGCACGCCACAGACACATCTTCAGAGATGTTAACATGGGAAAAACCTGTGCGTTCTACAATTGGTAAACAGAATTAACTTTTTAATTGTTTAAACCTAATCTGACTTATCCATAAGGCTTTTTATTTTAAAAACATCTACAGGTCACTGAACCCTGCATTACAAACACAGCACCAGGCATAATTTCTACTCCTTATAACCTAGAAAAGAAGCTGTGATTACCCCCATTCCAGAGATGAGGGAACAGCCCAGAAAGATTACATGACTTAGCCTGGGACACGGTTAGTAAGTGGCAGAGCTGGGATTCATATCAGCTGTTTATGGCTCTAATAAACAAGAATGTTTTCTCTTGTACAACCTGTCTCTCCCAGAACCTTCTCAAAACGTAAAACTTATCTGTCACAGAGAAAGGACAGAAATTATGTTTTTTGATAATAAGATAAGTGAGTTACAAGTGGAGAAGAGATTTCTTTTTAAAAGAGATTTGTGGCCGGGCACGATGACTCATGCCTGTAATCCCAGCATTTTGGGAGGCCAAGGCGGGCAGAACACCTGAAGTCAGGAGTTCGAGACTAGCCTGGCCGACATGGTGAAACCCTGTCTCTACTAAAAATACAAAAATTAGCCGGGCATGGTGGCGTGTGCCTATAGTCCCAGCTACCCAGGAGGCTGAGGCAGGAGAATTGCTGGAACCCAGGAGGCAGAGGCTGCAGTGAGCCGAGATCGTGCCACTGCACTCCAGCCTGGGTGACAGAGCAAGATTCCATTTCAAAAAAAAAAAAAAGAGATTTGTAAAAAAGATGATTTGGAGGTAACCCAAGGGCTACAACTCCAAATGGCTATATTCCTCTTTGAATTTTTCATTTCGTAGATTCCATGAGACCTTTCTTTCCTTTCATGTGGTGCCTATTTGGTACTCATAATGCAAACTCCAATCCATAGATTTCCTGGGTATCCTTGAGCTCACCACAGCCTTGTTCCTTTTCAGTGTGCCAAGCAGAGAGGAGAGGCGGAGAATTAAACCGTTTATAACCATGACCACCAGGTGGCGCCAGCACACAGCTGGGCCCTGCTGGTGGCTGGTGGGCTCACTGGATGTTGCATCATGAATTTAAAAAGTACTGTCTTCTTACTGTTTTCACCTGTCCAATTACTCGTTTTTGAAGATATCTCCATATACATGAACATACAACACAAAAATATTAAAAATTATTGTAAGATCAGATTTCCAGGAAGCCAATGCATCTTAATGATAGTTTCTGGAAACAGCTTTGTCTAAAGGGTGACTTTTAGTAAAATAAATCCAATAGAATTATTACCAGCGTGAAAATACATAATCACAATTAAAAAATACATAAACTCTGTAATTTAAAAAAAGGCTAAATAGAAGCACACCAAAAATGTAAACAAGTTATATTTGAGTGGTGAAACTATGGGTAACTTTGTCTTTATTGTCTCTCTTTCCATATTTTCCAACTTTACTTTCACCATGATCTACTACTTAAAAAAATATACTATGAATAACACAAACTTTCTAAGAAAGAAATGCAAACTATATCATAATTGTATCACAAAGCATTTAGACAACATAACTGCACCATCCTAACCCTGTCGCTATGGTCATTTTGGCATATCTCCTTTCATTAAGCCTTTCTGGGCATCAGTGTGTGTGTGTGTGTGTGTGTGTGTGTGTGTGTGTGTGTGTGTTTGAGACAAGGTCTCGCTCTGTTGCCCAGGCTGGAGTGCAGTGGTGCAATCTCGGTTCACTGCAGCCTCTACCTCCCAGGCTCAAGCAATCCTCCCACCTCAGCCTCCCAAGTAGCTGGGACTACAGATGCGCACTGCCACACCTCGCTAATATTTTGTAGAGACGCGGTTTCACCATGTTGCCCAGGCTGTTCTCGAACTCCTGCGCTCAAGCAATCCATCCACCTTGGTCTCCTAAAATGCTGGGATTACAGGTGTGAGCCACTGTGCCGGGCTCAGTGGCTCAAAATAAAATTTTATTCTATTTTGAGACAGAGTCTTGCTCTGTCACCCAGGCTGGAGTGCAAGTGGTGTGATCTCGGTTCACTGCAACCTCTGCCTCCTGGGTTCAAGCGATTCTCCTGCCTCAACCTCCCAAGTAGCTGGGATTACAGGCACCCACCACCATGTCCGGCTAATTTTTTTGTATTTTTAGTAGAGATGGGGTTTCACCATGTTGGCCAGGCTGGTTTTGAACTCCTGACATCAGGCGATCCCCCTGCCTCAGCCTCCCAAAGTGCTGGGATTACAGGTGTGAGCCACCACGCCCAGCCTCTGCATCAGTTTTAAATTTACATTTATTTACATCATTTATAGCTGTCTTAAAAACTGGTGATAGTATTAGCAAATCCTGATTGCTCATGTGCTGTATTTGGCCTGGGGAGAAACCAGCAAACAGGACTCAATGGGTAACAGAATTAAGTATTAGGTTGGTGCAAAAGTAATTGTGGTTTTGGCCATACTTTTAATGGCAAAACCACAATTACTTTTGCACCAACCTAATACAAAGTAGGGAAATTTTTATTTGAAGATCTATGTATAGTTGTCGAAATGCTGTGTGAGTTCTTACCGTTTCCCACTAGGTGGCATCATTGTCCAGAAAATGAACCGGGAGGGAAGGCGGTAAGTAGATAGTGGCCTCCTAGAAGGAAGGTTCTCCTTGCAGGCTTCTGTCCCAATAAAAGTTCCTGCTCATTACTCTCCTCAGCTGCCCCCAGGGGCAGGATGTTCACAGCATATACCCAAACCGAGGACTAGGAATGTAGGGAACCACCGCACACCCCTCTGTGGATAACCCCAACAGGGACAAAACACACAAGCGTGGGCATGGGTGTGCATGGCCAGGAAGCTGAATCCAGATGCATCCAAAGAGCCCCTGAGAGCCACCTCAGACCTAAATCCTTCAGGCAAGCGCTGCAAGCCAGCTCTTTCTAGCTCAGGTGTTTCCCGTCTATTTCAGTCTGTTTCTAGAGTTGGTACAAGACAAAGGTCTTTAAACTCTGGTCTCCCTAGGAAGCCATGTGTCCTCTCTCACATGCTTTTTTTTTTTTTTTTTTTTTGAGACAGAGTCTTGCTCTGTCACCAGGCTGGAGTGCAGTCTCGACTCACTGCAACCTCCGCCTCCCAGGTTCAAGCAATTCTCTGGCCTCAGCCTCCCGAGTAGCTGGGACTACGTGCACCCGCCACCATGCCCAGCTAATTTTTGTATTTTTAGTAGAGACGGGGTTTCACCATGTTGGCCAGGATGGTCTCGATCTCTCGACCTCGTGATCTGCCCACCTCAACCTCCCAAAGTGCTGGGATACAGGCGTGAGCCACCGCGCCCGGCCTGCACTTTTTTTTTTTTTTTGAGATGGAGTCTCACTCTGTCACCCAGGCTGGAGTGCAGTGGCATGATCTCGGTAAAAATATAAAAATTAGCCAGGCGTGGTGGCACATGCCTATAATCCCAGCTACTCGGGAGGCTGAGGCAGGAGAATCGCTTGAACCTGGGAGGTGGAGGTTTCAGTGAGCCGAGATCGCACCACTGCACTCCATCCTGAGCGACAGAGGGAGACTCTGTCTCAAACAAAAATAAAATAAAATAAAAAATATTAGATAAATAAGTTTATTAAAATATTTTAATACAGTGTTAAAATGCTAAGAAGAAAAACTAAGAGAAAGTAGAAAAGAAATATAGAGGGGGTGAGCAGGTTAAACAGGATGTTTCCCAGGATGACCAGGGAAGGTGTCAATGAGAAAATGACTTTTTTTTGGAGACACAGTCTCACTGTGTCCCCCCAGGCTGGAGTGTAGTGGTGTGACCTCAGCTCACTGCAGCTTCTGCCTCCTGGGCTCACGGGATCTTCCCACCATGCCGGGCTAACTTTTGTATTTTTTGTAGAGATGGGGGTTTGCCATGTTACCCAGGCTGGTCTTGAGCTCCTGGACTAAGCAATCTGCCTGTCTGGGCCCCACAAAATGCTGGGATTACAGGTGTGAGGCACTGCGCCTGGCCTGAGAGCATGACTTTCACATTTTGAAAGAAGTGGGGAGCTGGACACGTTGATTGTGGGGAAGGACATTTTGGCCAAAGAAACACTAGTGTAGTATGCCTGGCATAGCACGTGTGAGGACCCACGGCAGGCCAGTGGGCTGCAGCAGAGAGGAGAATGAGGGTCTGTACGGATGGGTCAACAAATACTTTCTGAGCTCCTGAAAGTGGTGTGCTGCAGGCTACGAAAAATGTGAAGGTAAGTCAAGAGTCTCTGCAGGGCAATAGGAGAGAGAAAAGACTCTGGGACCTGGAATGTGCTTTCAGGTCCTTCTGAGCAATGGTATGTTTCTGAGGTCTTTGCAAGTAGGACAGGATTTGTCATTCTTGGGATAAGCCTTTCCTTACCCAAACTCTTCTTTTCCCACTGTTTGCTGGCATTAAGGGTGGCAAAAGACAGCCCTAAGGTTACCTTTATTTTTGTTCCTTTGGCATTTGCCTTTTTTTCTCTTCTGCATGGGTGCTTGAAGGAAAACATTTCTAAACCCTTGCAATTTGAACTGTTTTTAGGATATGTCTAGGTGAATGTCAATTTTCATTGAGTTTTATAGAATTCAAAGGAGCTCTTTCAATCCATAAATTCAAGTTTTTGTTTTTAGAGCCCATTTTAACTTTCTTAATTGCCTCTTTTCCTTCAGTTTGGTCTCTTCTTTAGAAACACTATTTGTAGAATGGTTTTTAATTTTTTTTCTCTGTATCTATCAGCGACTTTCTCATCACAGTTACAAATGGCACAAATGTGACTTGCCACAATGTCAACTCCAGTCTATACAAAGACGAATGGGCTGGGAGACATGAGTAAGAATTTCAAAGACGCTGAAGCTCAACAGCAGAAATGAACAGAAGGAACGATGCAGGTGGAAAACCATCACTGCCTGCTAAAACTAGTGGGTGAAAAATTGATGAGAAATAGGGCATTGGCATAGCCTTGGAGCCTCTCCCTACAAAACACTTATTAATTACAAAGGGAAAAATTGTTACCCTAGGGTGGAAACGTTTGTCAGATACCACCTAATCCAAACAGTTGATGCTAACATCACTAATACTGGGACAAAGGCAGACTGTAGGGCTACCTCCTGAAATGAGGTAACGAGGATGCAACTTTAGTGCAGTGACATTCTGGCCAAAAATGCACAATCTGAATCTAACCATGACGAAACATCAGACAAACCCAAACTAAGGGACATTCTACAAAACAGCTGGCCTGTACTTCTCAAAAAATGTGAAGGTCAAGAAAGACAAAGACAGGCTAAGGACCTCTGCTGGATTCGAGGGAACTAAAGAGACATGAGGGCTACATGTAATCCATGATGCCAGGTGGAACCTGGGACCAGGAGAAACACATGGGCTATCATGGACATTATTGGGACACGGCCAAAAGTTCAATCTATATTGTGAGTAAGATAATGACATGAAAAGTTAATGTTACTGGCTGGGTATGATGGCTCAAGCCTATGGTCCCAGCATTTTGGGAGGCCGAGGCAGGTGGATCATTTGAGGTCAGGAGTTTGAGACCAGCCTGGCCAACATGGCGAAATCCTGTGTCAACTAAAAATACAAAAATTAGCTGGGCGTGGTGGTGGGCACCTGTAATCCCAGCTACTCAGGAGGCTGAGGCAGGAGAATCACTTGAACCCAGGAGGCGGAGGCTGCAGTGAGCCGAGATCGTGCCGCTGCACTCCAGCCTGGGCGACAGAACGAGACGGTCTCAAAAAAAAAAAAAAAAAAAAAAGTAAATGTTACTTTCTTCATTTTGAGGACTGTACTGTGATTATTTAAGAGAATGCCTTTGTTCTTAGATAATATAGCTAAAATATTTAAGGGTAAAGGGTCACAATGTTTCCAAGTTACTCTCAAACTTTTCAGAAAAGAAAAAACAGAGAGAGAGAGAGAGAAAGAGAAGCACAAAGCCCAGGGGAAAAATGTGTGAATCTGGATAAAGGTTATATGGGAGTTCCTTGTATTATTCTTGAAACTTTTCTGGGAGTTAAAATAATACCCAAAAGTGGCCAGGCACGGTGGCTCATGCCTGTAATCCCAGCACTTTGGGAGGCCGAGGCGGGCAGATCACCTGAGGTCGGGAGTTCGAGACCAGCCTGACCAACATGGAGAAACCCTGTTTCTACTAAAAATACAAAATTAGCCGGGCATGCGGGCACATGCCTGTAATCCCAGCTACTAGGGAGGCTGAGACAGGAGAATCGCTTGAACCTGGGAGGCAAAGGTTGCGGTGAGCCAAGATCGCGTCATTGCACTCCAGCCTGGGTGACAAGAGCAATACTCCGTCTCAAAAAACAAAACAAAGCAAAACAAAACAAAAGTTATTACTGTGTATTAAGAATTACAATCAGTATTGAGGGTAGTACAGAGCACCAACAGGATATGCTATGGGTTTTGGAGTTTTCTGCATCTACACAGGTATACTGGTAAGAAGATGGAGAAGTTATGTAGAATTTTATTTAAAAAAATTTTTTTTTTCAGACAGGGTCTCAGTCACCCAGGCTGGAGTGCAGTGGCCTGATCATGGCTCACTGCAGCTTCAACTTCCTGGGCTCAAGCAATCCTCCTACCTCAGCCTCCCGAGTAGCTGGGACTGCAGGTATGTGCCACCATGCCCGGCTAATTTTTTTTATTTTTAGTAAAGGTGAGGTCGCACTATGTTGCCCAGGCTGGTCCCGAACTCCTGAGCTCAAGTGATCCTCCCACCTCAGATTCCCAAAGTGCTGGGATTACAGGTGTGAGTCACCGTGCCTGGCTGTATGTACAGTTGTAAAAGGGAAATTCCAATGAATATTTTTGAGAATTGGCATGTTAAGCAGCGTCAGGTTTCTCAGCTCAAAGCTGGGGCAGAGCTATTGATGTTCTTTCAGAGAGCATCCAGCACTGGCTCAGCAATCAATAATTTGACATGAAACTCTCCAGTTTGCTTCTGAGAGTGACCCAATTTGCAATGCTAAAACTGGGTGTTTACCATTACTAGTGCAGACAATGTCCCTATGCCAGTGGTTCTCAAAGCTCAGTCCCCAGACCAGCAGCATAAGCATCACCTGGAAACTTGTTAGAATGCAAATTCTCAGGCTCGACCTACCGCGACCCACTGAATCAAACTCTGCAAAGTGTGATTCACCCAGAGTTGAAATCATCCAGAGAGCTTTTAAAATTCCCAATGCTCGGCCAGGCGTGGTGGCTCACGCCTGTAATCCCAGCACTTTGGGAGGCCGAGGCGGGCACGTCACAAGGTCAGGAGATCGAGACTGTCCTGGCTAACATGGTGAAACCCCGTCTTTACTAAAAACACAAAAAATTAGCCGGGCGTGGTGGCGGGTGCCTGTAGTCCCAGCTACTCAGGAGGCTGAGGCAGGCGAATGGCGTGAATCCGGGAAGTGGAGCTTGCAGTGAGCCAAGATCGTGCCACTGCACTCCAGCCTGGGCGACAGAGGGAGACCCCATCTCAAAAAAAAAAAAAAAAAAAAAAAAAAAATCCCAGTGTTCAGGCCACACCTAAATTCCATCAGAAACTCTAGGGGTGGGGTTCAGCAATCTTTGTTTTAACAAGTTCCCCAGATGACTCCGATGCCTGCTCAAGAGACCCACCAACCGGATGATAAGGAAGATGCTGCCAGTGTCTAAACAGTATTGGTAGGGTCCTTCTAATACTGAGAAGACGACAACCAAGAGAAATTCTAATTTTGATCCTACTGAAGATGCTAAACTCTGACAGGAAGTACTTGGACACGAGACTGTTAACACTTGCAATAATTTATTTCTGTTTAGAGTATGTTCTACATTCTTGAATCTCAAATGCTAAACAAGATCAATAGGTCAGGATGTAGCCATGTGTTTGCTTTTACTATTTATTTATAATTCTCTTTCCTTCCCTTGCCCCATCAGTATTAGACTTGCCCCTACGTATTAGTCTGTTCTTGCATTGCTATAAAGAAATACCTGAGACTGGGTAATTTATAAAGAAAAGAGGTTTAATTGGCTCACAGTTAAGCAGGCTGTACAGAAAGCATGATGCTGGCACCTGCTCGGCTCCTGGGGAGGCCTCAGGAAACTTTTAATCATGGAGAAAGGTGAAGGGAAGCAGGCGCATCTTACTTGGTGGAGGAGGAACAAGACAGAAAGAGTGGGGGGAGGTCCTGCACACTTTTAAATGACCAGATCTTATAAAAACTTGCTCGCCATCACAAGAATGGCACCAGGAGATGGTGCTAAACCATTCATGAAGGACCACTCCCGTGATTCAGTCACCTTCCACCAGGCCCTACCTCTAACATTGGGGATTACAGTTAGACACAAGATTTGGGTGGGGATACAGATCCACACCATATCACCTTATGACTTGCTCTGACCAATGGAATATTAGTGGACATGAAATGAAGTGAAAGGAAGCTTTCAATCTGCTTCCCTTCTTTTGTATCTGCCACATGCCATGAGAAGGACATGACCTGGATAGCCACTGGTCCTGGGATAAGAGCCATGTGGAGAAGACCTGAACCTCCCCCTTAACAAGCTAAAACAGCCACTCCAAGTGACCCACAGGTCCATCAGTGGAAAAAGAAATGTTTACTAATGTAAGCCACTGAATTGTTTGTTACACAGCATTATGAAAGAAATAGTTGACTTGGGCTGGGTGTGGTGGCTCATGCCTGTATTCCCAGCACTTTGGGAGGCTAAGGCAGCCAGATTGGGTGAGCCCAGGAGTTTGAGACCAGCCTGGCAAACATGCCGAAACCCCGTCTCTATAAGAAATACAAAAAATTAGCTGGGCATGATGGTGCACACCTGTGGTTCCAGCTACTTGGGAGGCTGAGGTGGGAGGATCACTTGAGCCCAGGAGGTGGAGGTTGAAGTGAGCCAAGATTGTGCCACTGCACTCCAGCCTGGGTGACAGAGCAAGACCCTGTCTTAAAAAACAAAAAGAGAGAAATAGCTAACTTAAGACATAAAGTCTACAAAAATATTTTTTGAGAAATACAGAAAAGTATAAAGAATGATACCACACCCAAAACCTGCCATGTGGGATTGTTTTTATAGCTTTTAAATTTTGTTCTTTTTTTCTTAAATAAAACATCACAGAAAGTTAAATCCTCTTAAACACTCCACCAGTCTTATGCTCCTCCCCACTTCCCAAAGGCAGCTACCATTGAAATGTTCCCATTCTCCCTTAAAAATACATATGACCGGCCGGGCGCGGTGGCTCACGCCTGTAATCCCAGCACTTTGGGAGGCCGAGGCGGGCGGATCACGAGGTCAGGAGATCGAGACCATCCCGGCTAAAACGGTGAAACCCCGTCTCTACTAAAAATACAAAAAATTAGCCGGGCGTAGTGGCGGGCGCCTGTAGTCCCAGCTACTTGGGAGGCTGAGGCGGGAGAATGGCGTGAACCCGGGAGGCGGAGCTTGCAGTGAGCCGAGATCGTGCCACTGCACTCCAGCCTGGGCGACAGAGCGAGACTCCGTCTCAAAAAAAAAAAAAAAAAAAAAAAAAAAAAAAAAAAAAAAAAAAAATACATATGACCAGTAAACTCAGCACTTTGGGAGGCTGAGACAG
Source organism: Homo sapiens (assembly GCF_000001405.40). NCBI lineage: Eukaryota > Metazoa > Chordata > Mammalia > Primates > Hominidae > Homo > Homo sapiens. Next base: position 218,136 of record NW_025791763.1, on the reverse strand, counting down.
AAGGATCACTTGAGCCTGGGAGGTCAAGACCAGCTTGGGCCATATAGTGGAACCCCATCTCTACAACAAATAATAAAAATAGCTGGATGTGGTGGTGCACACCTGTAGTCCTAGCTACTTGGGAGGCTGAGGAGGGAGGAATGCTTGAGTTTAGGCTGCAGTGAGCTATGATCATGCCACTGCACTACAGCCTAGGTGACAGAGTGAGATCCTGTCTCTCAACAAAGCACAAAAAACCAAAATCCGGGAGGCTGAGACAGGAGAATCTCTTGAACCCAGGAGGTGGAGGTTGCAGTGAGCTGAGATCATGTGCCATTGCACTCCTGCTTGGGTGACAAGAGTGAAACTCCGTCCTAAAACCAAAACCAAAACCAAAACCAAAACCAAAACTAAAACCAAAACAAACACATACACACAAAAACAAAACCCCAAAAATATGGATGTTAAAGGTGCTTCCGGTGAGGCTTCAGATGGAAATGGGGAACATGTTATTGGAACTAGTGGAAAGGCGATTCTTGTTACAAAGTGGGAAGAAACATGGCTGAGTTATTTTGTAGTGTTTTGTGAAAGGTAGAACTTGTGAGTGATGAATTTAGATATTCAGCACAAGTTATTTCTAAGCAAAGTGCTGAAGGTGTGGCTTGGTTTCTCCTTACTGCTTGTAGTAAAATGTGAGAAGTAAATTATTGTTAAGCAAAAAGGAACCAGAACTTGAAAATTTAGAAAATTCTCAGCCTAGCCTCATTGCAAAAAAATGAGAAGGTGTGTTCCTAAGAGAACACCAATGGTGTGGCTGGACGATCAGATAATGAGACTGGGGCTGTGAAGCATGGATTCAACCAACCACCTCAGCAGAAATACTGCCCTTTTGGATTAAAATGGACAAAGACAGGACAAAGGGAAGGAAGGCTGTCAGACTTCTACAGAATGGGCTACAGTGATGTGGCTGCAAACATTTGTTATCTTTCAAGAAGAGGGAAGAATGACCCCAAGAGGGGATTCACAAGGTGTGGCTGCCGCCCAGGGCCTCAGGGGCACAGCTCCCAGCTCCCATCCTGGTGGGCTGGAAGGACAGAGAATGAATGGTGCCAAAGAGGATTATTCTTGAGCATTAAATTGAATAGAACTCTGCTAGCAGACTGCCTTTAGACTTAGACTGTAACTCTTCCCTGCCAGTCTCCAGCCTGCCAGCTTACCCTCTTAAATCTTTCTCCCTCTACACATTCACACTCACTCACTCACTCGCTATATATACATACATCACCTTGGTTCTGTTTCCCTGGAGAACCCTAACACAGAACTGTCCTATATCTTTTTTATTTTTACTTTTCATACCAAGCTAAGCTGACTAGGAGAACTGTTCTATATCTTGATTGTGGTGAACTCATGTATGACTGCAAAAGTTTGTCAAAACTCACAGAACTATATACTCATGTGAATTTCACTATATGTAAATTATATCTTAAAAATGGGGAGGTTGGGCATGATGGCTCATGCCTGTAATCCTAGCACTTTTGGAGACTGAGGCAGGCGGATCACTTGAGGCCAGGAGTGCAAGGCCAGCCTGAGCAACATAGCGAGACCCTAACTCTAATTTTTTTTAAATGGGGGGAAAAGCGCACACGTATACAAATATATGCACAGGATGCTAACTTTAGCTTAAAAACTGGGGCCGGGTGAGGTGGCTCACGCCTGTAATTCCAGCACTTTGGGAGGCCAAGGCGGGCAGATCACCTGAGGTCAGGAGTTCAAGACCAGCCTGGCTATCATGGTGAAACCCCGTCTCTACTAAAAAAATACAAAAATTAGCCATGTGTGGTGGCAGGCGCCTGTAATCCCAGCTACTTGGGAGGCTGAGGCAGGGAGAATTGCTTGAACCCGGAGTGTGAAAGTTGCAGTGAGCTGAGATCGCACCACTGCACTCCAGCCTGGGCGACATAGTGAGACTCTGTCTCGGAGAAAAAAAAAAAAAAACTGGGCTAGGCGTGGTGGCTCGTGCCTGTAATCCCAGCACTTTGGGAGGCTGAGGTGCGCGGATCCCGTGAGGCCAGGAGTGCCAGACCAGCCTAGCCAACATGATGAAACCCCGTCTCTACTAAAAATACAAAAAAATTAGCTGGGCGTGGTGGTGAATACCTGTAATCCCAGGTACTCGGGAGGCTGAGGCAGGAGAATCTCTTGAACCCAGGAGGTGGAGGTTGCAGTGAGCTGAGTTTGTGCCACTGCACTCCAGCCTGGGCAACAGTGAGACTGTCTCAAAACAAACAAACAACTGGAAACCATCTATGTCTATCTATTTTTAAAATGTTTAAATAAAAGGCAACCAGGAAGAGAGAGGTGGCAAAGTTTCAAAGGTGGTAGATATTTCTGCCTTTGCACTAACCTCATCTAGATTTTTCTCTACACCTTCCTCTATCCCTCAACTCCTTACTCTCTAGGTCCCTTTTCTGATTCTGGATGCTCAGCCTAACAGCTAAAATTTGCATTAAAAAACCCCTGAATATCTGACCATTTTCCAAAAAGCTGGATTAAGTCACTCTAAAGTTTTGGAGAACTGCAACCATTTCCAAGTTATCTGGATTATTTGTCTCCTGGTCTCTGGGTCTCTGGCCCCATTTGCCTGTAACTCAGCAGAATTTATTAGGCATCTACCTGGACAGGAAGCATTTTGGTCATCAGAGAGCAAGTTATAAGTATACACACACACACACACACACACACACACACACTCCAGACTGAAATACTATTTAACAAAATGTTTGTGGGTTGTGGGATTATAGATCTTTTTCTGTGCTTTCTGGCATTTTCCCAAGAGTTCTACACAGTGCATGCATTACTTTTACGGTTTCAAAAAAAGATTTTTTAAAATTAAAAAACAGTTCTGAATGAAAAAAGGGGTTGGATCTTGGGTAAATGTGGGTAGAGAAGGGGTATTAACTTTTTACCAGACCATTCATTCTTCCATTCATTCAACAAATGCTCCCGAGCATTACAACAGGCGCTCAGATGCGATTCCTGTCTTCGTGTTGCTTATATTCTAGAGGGGCATATATGTGTTTTGCGTGGCTGGACACAGTGCTCCTGGGGGACACTGGAGGGAAGACAGGCACCTGGCATGTGGGGCCATGGTGAGGGGTCTGGATAATAATCTGCAAGTGATGAAATTACACTGATCGGATCTTACAAATAGTTGCTTATACAATGTTACTGTTAGTCTTTAGAGCTTGTTTTGAAGGTGTAAAGTCCAAATTATTAAGCACTTAACTTCATCCCGCACCCGGGCCCAGTTGTGACTTGCTTAGACATACTTCCTTGTTAGGCAGCTTCTACATGACTCACTAAATCTCTGCAAGTATGCAGGCTGTTTCCTTCGCTTGCTCTACTCCCAGGGCAAACCTCACCTTAAATATTTTACTCCTGACTCTAAAATACATTTCATAATCTCAAGTATTTTAACAAAAAAGCCGGTGTCCAAACCTCTGTGACTCCCTCCGAAAAACCTTCAAGTTCTGCTCACACGTCTAGCCTGGAGAGCCGCATGGAGTAAACTGGGATGTCTCTAGGTCCTCCTTCCACTCCGCCTCTGGTTTGTGATTTGCAATTACAACAATGATCCTCGACTCTGGCTGCCCCTTGGAATCTCCTGGGGAGCTTAAAAACTAAGATACCAGCCGCACCCCAGACCAATTAAATCATATCCTTGGGGGATTAGATGCTAAATTCTATAGGCTCATTATCTCTGTTACCTCTGCAATCTGTCCATTTGTTCTGGCACCTAATTCAGGCCCTCATTACCTCTTAGTTTTGCTAATTAAACAGTATTTTCGTTGTTCTTTCCCTCTCATTTAATAATAGTAGAGGTAGCGGTAGTGGTGGTGGTGACGCTGGGAGTAGTAAGCTAATAGTTATTGAGGACTTATTTTGTGGTAGAGGCACAATTCTAGACTCATTACAATACACTGGCTCATTTTCGCACAACGACTCTATGAAGTCAGTCTCTTCTAATCCCCATTTAATAGATGAGGAAACCAAGGCAAAGAGAGATGAGGTAATTTGCTTGGAGCTGCATAAATAGAAAGAGGTGGATCTGGGATTGCAACCAAGTGTATTATACAGCCTCCCACTCATATACCCTCCTCCCCGGGTGTCTCAGGTTTTGCTCCTGCACGTACACACCTCTCGTTGGAATGAGATGCTCTGCCTCAAAAACTGAGAATGATGGTCTTCTCCCCATCTGTTGAATTCCCAGTTAAGATTTTCTCCCATAAATGTTCCTTAAGTTTTTGAGGCCTGTGTCTGCTTTGCTATATTATAATATAGACTACGGTAATATAAAATTTACTAGAAAACTATCCATGTTGCTATCTATAATGCCATGTGTGGCAACGGTTCATGCTTCTCTGCCCTTAGACAAAATAAGGGACCCCTGCTCCACCACAATGCTGAGTTATTATTTGCAGAGCACACATCTGCAATGGTTAGATGTTTGTTTGGCAGTTGGAACTACGGGTGTAGAACTTTCTTGAGAGTTCTACAGCTCTCTTGATGGGATTTTATATATTTTTTCTGTCACAAACATTGAGAGGAATAAGTGATGATGAAGAGTTGATTTATTTGAATAAAAGTCTAGAAAGAAAATGGAAGCTTCAAAAAGACAAACAACTGATTATGTGTATTAATACAGTATCTTGGAGTCAATGATAAGATTTACAGGAAGCAGAGAGTAGTCAGGCCTTGGCTGTCGGCTGTGTTGCAAAAAAGCAGGAAAATGAGTGGAGTTAGTTATTCGATGGTGACTGAAGCGCTAAGCCGGGCTGCAGTGGAGTGGCAGAATAAAGGAGGTGACAGAGGTGTGGGAAGTCAGGCGGTAAACAATAAAAAAGAAACAGGACGGTGCTCACAGGAACAGGAAGGCTGAACACAGGGTTTTTCTTTCATTTCTCAGAGGATTGCTCTGTGCAAAAGGAAGAATGGGAAACTCAGAGTACACGTGTTAGTTTTGTTTTTTTGTTCACGACAGGGTCTCACTCTGTCACCCAGGCTAGAGTGCAGTGGCACAATCATGGCTCACTGCAGCTCCGAACTCCCAGCTCAGCCTCCTGAGTAAATGGGACTATAGGTGTGAATGACTGCATCTGGCTAATTTTAAAAATTTTGGCCAGGCGCAGTGGCTCACGCCTGTAATCCCAGCACTTTGGGAGGCCGAGGAGGGTGGATCACCTGAGGTTGGGAGTTTGAGACCAGTCTGACCAACGTGGAGAAACCCTGTCTCTATTAAAAATACAAAGGTAGCCGGGCATAGTGGCACATGCCTGTAATCCCAGCTACTTGGAAGGCTGAGGCAGGAGAATCGCTTGAACCCAGGAGGCAGAGGTTGTGGTGAGCCAAGATCGCGCCATTGCACTCCAGCCTGAGCAACAAGAGCAAAACTCCGTCTTTTTTGTAGAGATCTCACCATGTTGCCCAGACTGGTCTCAAACTCCTGGCCTCAAGCAATCCTCCCTCCTTGGCCTCCCAAAGTGTTGAGATTAAAGGCATGAGCCACCATACCTGGCCACTATATGTTAGTTTTTTTTTTTGTTTGTTTGTTTTTTGAGTCACAGAGTCTTGCTCTGTTGCCCAGGCTGGAGTGCAGTGGTGCAATCTCAGCTCACTGCAACTTCCACCTCCTGGGTTCAAGCAATTCTCCTGCCTCAGCCTCACAAATAGCTGGGATTACAGGCGCGTACCACCACGCCGATTTTTTTTTTTTTTTTTTTGAGATGGAGTTTTGCTCTTGCTGCCCAGGCTGGGGTTCAATGGCACAATCTCGGCTCACTGCAACCTCTGCCTCCCGGGTTCAGGCGATTCTCCTGCCTCAGCCTCCTGAGTAGTTGAGATTACAGGTATGCGCCACCATGCCTGGCTAATTTTGTATTTTTAGTAGAGACAGGATTTCTCCACATTGGTCAGGCTGGTCTCGAACTCTCGACCTGAGGTTATCTGCCTGCCTCAGCTTCCCAAAGTGCTGGGATTACAGGCGTGAGCCACCACGCCCGGCCTCATGTGTTAGTTTTTAAAGGGAAATAACATTCTTGAAAAGTAGATGGAGATGCGACAATATGCAGAGAGAAACTAAGACAGAGGACCCAGCCATCTCAGGTCTTCAGGAGTGGGCTGGCAGACGGCACAGGAGAGGTAGAGGAAGGCACAGATCTGAAACAGAGATGGCTGCACTGGGGGGAGGTGCAGGGCACGAGCCAGGTCTAGGGTGGGCAGATGTGGTCCGCACATCCTCCACCAGGGCTGACTGGCACCACTAGAGGGCACCCGCGCCTCGTGCTTGGCTATCCCAAGTGGGACTCTGGGCCAAAGCCACTACCCTGGCTTATGCCTGAGGTGTGGAGTGCTTGTTCAACAGCAGCTTGTGCCTTGGCGACTGGCTGCAGAACCTGCTGCCTTTCCCGGATGGCTGGTCCCGCACTCACGGTTCCTTCCACTGTCATCCTTGCCTGACTCCCTGGTGATGGCTGTGACAATCACCTGAGAGCTGCATGTGGCATCCCACTGTAGATCCCACTGTAAACTCCCAAGGGCTCCACAGGAGCAGGTCTCCTGATTACTGGAAATCATACAGGCTCCCTGCACCCTTATTTATTTAGCTTTCTGCACATATCTTCTTTCTCTTCTGCTAGACTCTAAGCTTTTAATGAATAAGAATTATCAGTTTTTTTTTTTTGAGACAGAGTCTCGCTCTGTCACCCAGGCTGGAGTGCAGTGGCGCGATCTCGGCTCACTATCAGCTCCGCCTCCGGGGTTCACACCATTCTCCTGCCTCAGCCTCCCTAGTAGCTGGGACTACAGGCGCCCGCCACCACGCCTGGCTAATTTTTTGTATTTTTAGTAGAGACGGTGTTTCACCGTGTTAGCCAGGATGGTATCGATCTCCTGACCTCGTGATCCGCCCACCTCGGCCTCCCAAAGTGCTGGGATTACAGGCGTGAGCCACTGCGCCCAGCTATCAGTATCTCTTAAAATGTCCTATGAGATGAAGTAATGTCTGGGATTCACTTTAAATCCCCTATGTAGCAGGAGGGAAATTCTGGGTGAAGGGAACATGGGGATTCATTATGTAATTCTCTCTACTTTGATACATCTTTAAAATTTTCTGTAATTAAACTTTAATAAACATCATAGAAGCCCAACGCCTAATACCTAGTACAGGGCAGTAACAGTGAAGTCCTATGTCTGCTCGTCTGTAAAATGCATAGGTCATGCAGGATGAGGGTCCCTTCTAACCGCATTCCCTGATTCTGAGGCTCACTGTACAGTCGGCGAGCACCAGTTAGCTTGTGGGGTGAGTGCATCTTAAGGCAAGTGTTGACCCAAGCACCCAGGAAAAGCCCAGGAAAGTAGGATATCTGGTTCTGTTCCAGGAGCATCTCTTATCAGCTTTGGGTTTCAGTCCTTTGCATGTCCTGAGGAGGCCAGAGGTACTGCTTGGATCCACTGCTCCTGTCTCCCAGGATTGTCCAGACCCTCCTTTCCAGCTGGTATTGCCACAGGGCCTGGCAGAAGAGGCTCGGCTGCCCTGAGGAGCATTTGTTTGCATACGTCCTATTGAATTCTTTCCTATAACATCCTGTACAGAAGAGCCTCTTCGGCCGGGCGCGGTGGCTCATGCCTGTAATCTCAGCACTTTGGGAGGCCAAGGCTGGCGGATCACGAGGTCAGGAGATCGAGACCATCCTGGCTAACACAGTGAAACACCGTCTCTACTAAAAATACCAAAAATTAGCCAGGCGTGGTGGCACATGCCTGTAGTCCCAGCTACTTGGGAGGCTGAGGCAGGAGAATCGCTTGAACCTGGGAGGCAGAGGTTGCAGTGAGCCAAGATTGTGCCACTGCACTCCAGCCTGGGCAAAAGAGCGAGACTCCGTCTCAAAAAACAAACAAAAACAAAAACAAAAACAAAAACAGAAGAGCCTCTTCAACTATTGCCTGGCAGCTATGAGGGAGAAGAGGAGGCAATTCTGGGTAAGCCTCAACAGGACAGAGAAGCCACCCTTGCCCACGTGAAGTGGGCAGCGGGTTCAGATGGCAGCCGGGAAGGATCGCAGGCAGGCTTCTGTGATGAACCAGGGTGAGCAGCCAGGGCCATGGGGGTTGGGGGACGGCTATTCCAATTACAAAACATCTGAGGCGGTGTGGTGTGTGTGTTGAGGTCACAACCCAATTGTTAGCCCCAAGCACTCAGCTCTTCCTCACTGTACTCACACATTTGAGGAAACACTGTTGGACCCCATCTGCTTCAGCGTGATGGCAGAAGGCAGTGGCATGGGATGAGGCCACTAATAGTGGCCCTTTGGTGCTTTAAGGTGAAACAGACTTACCAAGTGTGCTGGAGATGGTGACCTCGTGTCCTTGACTGTGGCGCTGGAGGGGACATCGAGGAGGGGCCATTTCATCTGCAGGTACTGCACAGGGAACAGAAAAGAAAAAGCTGTTGGTGAGATGAGGCCTCACAAGTACTCAAAGTTTGCTGGGCTCTGCTGTTAGGGCACCGGGGCAGGCCATTGGGGTGGCCTGCATTTTCATGCCACATGCCCTGTACTGGGTCAATTTCCAAACGATTATAACAGGAGCGAGCATATATTTACAATCACTACCAGCCTCACCACGCCCTATGTCATTTTGGGGGGGGGGACACGAATGACAACTAAGCTGAACTTTAAGTGGTGGAGAGAACCGATCCATTCCAGCACAACCAATCAACATATTCAAAGAACCTACTAGTGAGGCTCAAGTCCCCTCCCTATGCTGTAGTCATGGACACGCAGGGCTGACCAAGGAGGCAGAGGCTCCCAGATGGCCATCCTGCCCCATCCATTTCCATCACTTACGACATCCACACACAATGCTCCCTACGAAACAGCCATCCAGAAGTATCTGGGAATGAATGAATAAAAGCCATCTGCCTGACACAGAGTCATGGGCAACATCTACCCCAACTCAAGGATGCTGAGCTTTCCTTCATTATAGCGTCTCTCAACCCTGAAAAAGATTACCCAGCACCCCATTCTTTCTCATGTCAGTGCAAAAAACCCAAACCAAACAGTACTTCCCCAACACACACACACACACACACACACACACACACACACACACACACACACAATCTCTCTCTCTCTCTGGCATGGCACAGTCCTTGCCAAGAGCCTAGAAAGAATGAGTTGAGTGGAGCAGCAGTCAGGAGCACTGGGAAGGGCCCTTCTGGGCTCCGGAGCCCTGCATTCATGGGTTCAGGCTCTTACTCTGCCAACATAGGCTGTGTGACCCTGAATGAGTGATTAACAACTCTGAGTCCCAGTTTCAGCATCTGTAAGGCAAGGTTATTATCACTCACGGTACAGGTTGTTCGGACTAGGGACGGTGTCACATATTGAACACAGTGCCTCGCACATGGGAGACATTTGATAAATGACGCCTATTATTTCCATAAGCAAACCATTAGTCTTTGCCAGGAGCAAAAGCACACATGTTGTCTTAGTGTCAACGCTGACAGGTTGCTTCTGGGCAACAGACCCGCAAGCAGCCTCTTTGCAGAATTCTTGAGACTCCTTTGAGAATGAAAGCTGTAACGGAAAGTGGTGGCCCCAGGAAGTTTCACAGAAAGAAGTCTTTGGCTGGGTGCAGTGGCTCATGCCTGTAATCCCAGCACTTTGGGAGGCCAAGGTGGATGGATCACTTGAGGTCAGGAGTTCAAGACCAGCCTGGCCAACATGGTGAAACTTCGTCTCTACTAAAAAAACAAAAAATAGCTGGGTGTGGTGGCGCAGGACTATAGTCCCAGCTACTCGGGAGGCTGAGGCAGGAGAATCGCTTGAGTCTGGGAGGTGGAGGTTGCAGTGAGCCAAGATCGTGCCATGGCACTACAGCCTGGACGACAGAGTGAGACTTTATCTCAAAAAAGAAAAAAAAAGAAGCCTTTGAATCATCCCTCACTCTGGTCATGTAATATCAGGAAAAATCAATCACAATCTGGCTCTGCTGTGTACAGGAGCAGGAGGGCGATGGGAAGAGCCCCAGAAGGCCCCTTTGCTCTTCATTCACCATAAGTCTTGACCAAGATGGCAGGGACTGACTGGGCTTTCAAAAAGGTGTCCATGGGCAGGAACAACAACTTAAGGTCACACGTGCCACAGGCCAGACTAGCACATGGGATGGGCCAAGCAGGCCTGGCGCGGGAGACCTGGTGGGAAGTGGGAACGAAGCCCTATGAATTAGGACAGTCTTTTCACTTTGCGACCTCTGTACCCCCACCCCTCAGCCCTCAAATGGGGTGTCACCTCTGTCCCTGTCCTCTGCTGACCCTATCTTCTTCCTCCCTTCCCACCACCACCCATCCCTTGCCCTACCCAGAGCCCACACACCCGACATGAATTAACTGGGATTTCAATGCCTGTGGCAAGTTAAAAGCACTGGGCAAATATTGGTATCAATAGTTAAAACTCATTTTCACTGTGAATAACATTTGTGCTACATTTGCACTTGTCAAAGCATTTTCACACACAAAACCCAGTGTAATCTGCACATCAACCCTGCAATGACAAGTAGGGGTGACTATCCCAAATTTTAAAAGGAGCTAGGCCGGGCGCAGTGGCTATGCCTGTAATCCCAGCACTTTGGGAGGCCAAGGTGGGCAAATCATTCGAGGTCAAGAGTTCAAGACCAGCCTGGCCAACATGGTGAAACCCCGTCTCTTACTAAAAATACAAAAATTAGCTGGGCATGGTGGCGTGTGCCTGTAGTCCCACCTTCTTGGGAGGCTGAGGCAGAAGAATCACTTGAACCCAGGAGGCGGAGGTTGCAGTGAACCGAGATCACACCACTGCACTCCAGCCTGGGTGACAGAGTGAGACCTTGTCTCAAAAAAAAAAAAAAAAAAAAAGGAGCTAATGGACATAAACAAAGGCTAAACGCTTCCCCAACTTCATACAAGACAGCTGGAGCTGGAGCCTAGGTCTCTGGACTTCAAATCCCACACCTTGCACAAGACCAAGTCACGAAGCTTTTCCTAAGACTGTCTTCCTCAACTCTCCACCCGCAGCCTTCTCTTTGCTCGGATGTGTTTTCTCTCTCCTTCTCTGTCTTGCACGGGGCTGGCCACCCAGAAACAGAATGGGTCCATGCATGTCAGTGTTCTCCTGGAGGGATGCTGAAGGTGCCCAGAGCTTGCACTTGAAGCCTAAACACCACACTCGTTTTTCTAGAAGCAACAACTTGAACATTTCTGGTTTTAAAAATTAAACTACAATAACAACTACCAGGTGCTAAAGAGAAGTATCCCAAATCTATACCCCCTAATATTAAACAGGATAGATGGGTACCTAAAAATCCATCAACTCTACCAGCATCTGCCCCCTATTTAGGGCCACAAAGACACACATTCATTCTTGTTGGCTTACCAGGGATGTCCTTAGATCATATGGGGGTGGTCCAAAGAAATGTAAACCCTAGTCTGGGATGGTGCTAGAGTTTTGGGTCTTAAATAATCCTCTCAAGTGACCTTATAGATTGTCTGGCAGAGTCGGCTTGTAGGACTGTAGTGCAGGGTTTCTCAGGCTCAGCACTATGACATTTTGGGCTGGATACTTTTTTTATTGGGGGTGGTGGGCTGTCCTGGAAAGTTTAACAACATCTTTGGCCTCTAACTATAATACTAAATGCCGATGCACTCCCATATAGATCATCAGAAATATCTCCAGATTTTGCCAAATGTCTCCTGGGGCTGAGGGAGAGAATCTTCCCTCCCGCAACTGAGAATCACTGCTCTAGTGGCCAAGGAGCTGGCACCCAATAGACTGCAAGCTCCATGAGGGTTTGTCTGCCTTGGTGCTGGGGATATCAAGGTACAGGTACATTTATGTATGCTTGTATTTTGTACACACATTCATAGTAAGGGTTTTCAGTAACAGCCACTCTTTTGGGTGTCTGACCATGTACTTGTTTTATCTATGTAACAAGAAGTCTTGGCTTCTGCTGGGAGGAGACCACACTGGTCGTGCCTACCACTGATACCTGGCCCCTTACAGACAAGTCAGGCAGTGTGAGGGAAAAGACCAGAAGGGAGAGGTGGTCCTGGGAACAGTGAGCATCTCACCGGGACTGACCCTGCTCCAGCCATGCCTGGGGTGGTGCAGGGGCGGTGTGTAGGGAGGGACTCACTCTGGGAGGCAGGAGTGTGGAGGATCGTGACTTTCCCTTTTCTATTTGTCTTTTTAAGTTTTGGAGATGAGTGACGGGGGGAGGAGGAAGAGCTCTAAGACTTTGGAGCCCCTACAGCTTGGCCATGGACGGCCTCTGCATCACAACTCTGAGGAAAGGACAGTTGAACTTCCCAGAACCGTGAATTGGGGCAGCAGGAGCCAGTGACAACCCTTGTAATCCTCTTCCACTGCAGTACTAGACATTTGAAGATGGCCAGGTAGTTCTGAATTCCTAGCATCAGGCCTAGCCCAACTAGAGTGGAAATAAAGTGCTTCTGTTTATTTATTTATTTTTATTTTTTATTTTTAGAGATGGGGGTCTTGCTACGTTGCCCAGGCTCGTCTTCAACGCCTGGGCTCAAGCAATCCTCCCGCCTTGCTCTCGCAAAGTGCTGGGATTACAGGTGTGAGCCACCATGCCCAGCCAATAAAGCTCTTCTTAGCTGTAAGGCCAACCCCACGATCACCCTGAGGGCAATCACTCATGGGTGGGAGCATGTCCTTGGGGAAGTAAGTGATGGCTGACTGTGCTTAGATTCTTTGCATGGTAATGGTATGTGGGCAGGTTAAAACTGCTGGTTTCTCCATGCCCAGTCTAGGCTACATTTAACTGGCTCTGCAAGGCCCAGCTCCTGACCAGTGTGTCGTGGCTGGGCTTCAGCCCACAGCGAAGATGTGTACACGGGCTGGTCCAGCCACCTCCCTCCTGGGGGATGCCCACCGGAATGTAACACATTGAAATGGTGATGAATGGCATCAATGCAACTGATGGCCTGGCAATAGCGATCGCTCCCACTTCTGGGGTGCTTTCTATGGGTTAAATACCCGCTTTTGGATGCTCAAAAATAGAAAGGAAAACACCAAACCCAAACGGCAGGTACTACTGTCTTCGATTTACATATGTTGTGACTATCTAAGACAGGACAGATACACAGTTTTCCAATCTCACTGAATCTGAGAAACACTTTTCTGGGGACTGGGGTTCTGCTACTGTGGTTCACAGTTAAGTAGACTGAGGCTGTGGTTTAAAACATGTCTTTACCTCATTAAGGAAGGATGATTCTAATCCTATTTTTACATTGTTTTCATTGGAGCAGTTGTTGCATTTTTCTCTCGGCATTTACCAAAATGGTCATGTGGTTTCTCTTATTTGACTCATTTATGAGATGTATATATAGCAATAGATTTTCTTACATGAAGGCATTTTTGCATTTCCCAGGTAAGCCCTATTTGGTCATGGTGGTTTGTTCCTTCTTACGCTGTATTGTGGAATGCTAGTCATGTTTTAAATTTTTGACTTTTACATTCCTAAGTAAAGGTGAACAAAGTTTTCTTTTCTTTGGGTGACATCTTTATCGAGTGTTGCCATCAGTGTCCTTGTGGCTTTATTATTCAGAGGGGCTCTGCTCCTCTCTTTCTCAATGTTTTGGGCCCCTCCTTAGAGCCCTCCTTGGGGCGAGCACTTGGCCAGGCGGGCTGTTTCTGCTCAACGTGGATCTCGGGAAGGGTCCCTCTGAAGGATGCTGTCACTAGAGAGCTAGAGCCCCCTTTCCTGCAGGAAGGCGGAGAATCCATCCTACAGAATCCTTGCTTTGATTGGAGCCATGGAGCAGATTAATTGCAGCTGTGCCCTGGAATTTCCCCAACACACAAATCTTCGTGATGTAAAACAGCTGGGAGGAAATCCCAGCATGCCCTGTACAGAGGCAGGACTGCCAATGAGCTACGGAGATTAACCCTCCGGCTCCCAGAAGGTAGGGAGGGCCCCGCCCCAGCCGTCCTCACCCTGTCCCACACTTGCTTAGTGTGGACAGGACTCTACAGGGCTCGGGGGAATGCCCACATTCTCCCTGTTCGCACGTTCTCACAGAAAAGCCTTTAAGCAGGGCCTGGGCAACAGAGGAAACAAAGCTTCATGTTACAGAATCCACAGCTCCCCACAGTTGCATGCAAGGAAAACAAGTCAGCTCCAAAAACTGCACAGGTGAGAAAACTCCAGCCCAGAGAACGCCTTCCGCTGCTTCTAGAGGAAAGGCCCAGTAGGCAGAGAAAGCGCCCCTTGCTCCAGCCCCATGGTCTCGCCCATTTTTGGCCACTTGCCCATCAGCAGACACAAAGGGTCCCAGTTTTGGTGACCGGTCCTTCCTGCCTCTCTGGACCCCTATGGTAAACAGTGACTTTGGGGACCTAGAGCCAGGATCCCCTTTGATAGAGAAGCAAGGGTTGCCCAGGCTTTTCGGGAGATGTAAAGTCCCAGTGCCACCCAGAACCCAAGGCTACACCCAAACTCCGGGTGCAGGTGGCTTCCCACCACAGTGACAATAACATTATTCAAAATGCTCTCCTTGTCCTCTTAGAAACTCTATGTAACAGGAACCTATACTATAACCGTACTATAAATGAAAAATGTGAAGAAGCGATCCGTGTCTCCCCGTCTCCATTCTGCCACAGTTGCAGTCGTTTCTTGCCTGGACTACTGCAAATCCTACCAGAGTCAGCCTTCTAAACACCAGTCACATCTCTCCCCTGCTCAGAACACTTCCCTGGTTGGTTTCTGGGGTCAAGAGATAAAGCCCCCAAACTCACCAGCAATCCCACACCACCCTATCCTTCTGGCTTCCACCCTCACCGCCCCCCACCCCAGCTGCACAGAGTCCTCACTGCACTCTGAACGCACCATGCTGCCCTGCTGCTCCCCGGCCTGCTACGGCCTTTACTGCATCCTTCACTCGTGGGAAACTTTAACCCCTCTTCTTCAAAACCCATTTCCTCCCAAGGTCACCCTCCCTGGCATGAAGCCTCCATGAGTCTGTCGCTCTCGAGAAGCGGTACACGGTGTTTCCATAGCACTCACCAGGCTACTCCTCCCCATTTGCACACTCTGTCTGCCCTTGGGACGGTAAGCTCCTCAAGGGTCATGCTGCACCTCAATTCCTCACCCAGAACCCGGCAATCATGATGTGTTGAAACCCTGTCCCATGCTGTATTAATGCCGTGAGCTTAGGCCCAGTTTCCACATCTGTAACGAGGGGTTGAACAGCCTCTGCCTGAAGCCTTTAGAGCAGGGGAGAGATGTGACTGGTGTTTAGAAGGCTGACTCTGGTAGGATTTGCCGTAGTCCAGGAAAGAAACGACTGCAACTGTGGCAGAATGGAGACGGGGAGACACGGATCGCTTCTTCACATTTTTCATTTATAATACGGTTATAGTATAGGTTCCTGTTACATAGAGCTTCTAAGAGGACAAGGAGAGCATTTTGAATAATGTCATTGTCACTGTGGTGGGAAGCCGCCACACAGGAGCCCATTTCACTCATGGGCAACGCCTGCTTCTCACAGTAACTGGCTTAGTCTGCCGAGAATACGTAAATGTAGCATGGAGGCTGGGATGCCCAACTTGGCCAGTTCTTGGAGACCTGTTTCTATCTTCTGTACTAAAGTTCACAAATGGATCTAAGTTTGAAAATACACTGACACTGAGCAATGAACTCAGGAATAGGGAGACAGAAAAGCTTTCCCAATTGGGAAAACATTTTTAGTTTTCAGCAGTCGGTAAGAGAAAACGAAAGTGTAAAGAACTTGTTCCCAAACAAGATGGATTAGACAAAGAGTTCCAGGGGCAAAAGTATAAAAGAAGTTTTACACTCTTATCCCTTCTTTCTTAAGAATGAGTCATTTATGCCTTTGCTTAACTTTGTGGATGGCACTAAATCCCAAACACATTTTTTGTTTTACCTGAGGGTAGGTTAGATTCTTTCTTGAGGTATTTTTTTTTTTTTTTTTTGAGATGGAGTCTCACTCTGTCGTCCAGGCTGGAGTGCAGTGGCGCAATCATAGATCACTGCAACCTCCACCTCCTGGGCTCAGGCAATCCTCCCATCTCAGCCTCTCAAGTAGCTGGGACCACAGGCATGTGCCACCATGCCTGGCTAATTTATTGTAGTTTTGGTAGAGACAGGATTTCACCATGTTGCCCTGGCTGGTCTCGAACTCCTGAGCTCAAGTGATCTGCCCGCCTTCACCTCCCAATTCTGCTGGCATTACAGGGGTGAGCCACCGCACCTGGCCTACACTGGTCTTAAACCAATGAAGTGACTTTGCTCTCTCTAGCACCTGTCACAGCATTTAGTCAACAAATGGCTTTAAAGCCCATGCACTGGTAGCAGAGGGGCTCCAAAAGCATTTCATAACTGAATAGTAAACTCAAAAGTAAGAGTGTGTCAATTAGGTGTCAGTTTCACCATAAACACCTCTTTCCTCTGCTTTCCCCAAATGATTCTTTCTTTTGTGGATGATCTCAAAACTATTCTCTTCCCCTCGCATTCCAAAGAACCTGGCAATTTTGCCTCCTAGATTTGACCTAAGGTTTGTTTTTAAAAACTGGCTCCCCCGCAGAAGCCAAGCTTTCGTTTTAGAGCACAGGAGGCAAGAGATCAGGGTTCCAGGCTCTTTCTAACCTTTCTGGACTCCATCGTCTCATCTTTAAAATGGGAATATTTTACTTCATCAGCCTGAAGCAGGGGCCTGGACTAGATGGTCTCCTTTGGAAGGAAAAATCAAATTCAGCTGTTTGTCTAAACACAGAGGGCACTGGGAGTGCCGACCGTGTTGAGGTGTTCAACAAATACGGAATCAGGGGTCCTAGCTGAACCCCACTTACAAGCTGTGTGCCTGTGTACATCACCTTTCAGAACCTCTGGTTTCCACATGTAAAATAGGAATAAGAACACCTACTGCCTGGCAGAGTGATTATCTCACGTGTGGCTGTCACACTCAAGTGTGAGTGTCCTCTCACACTGGAGAGGACCAGGCAGAGTGTGGGGCATGCGGGGAGCTTGTAAGAAATCTGTGTTCAGTCACTAAATGTGTAAGTTATTGGTATTCTAGGAGCCTGTGACCTGCGCTTTACCTGGGGAGACAGGTCTGGTTCGGTGGTGTGTTGGTAAATGCCTAACAACTGGCTCTCTAAGCAAAAAACAAAGTGAAAAACCAAAGCATTTGCTGGTATTCATGGTGTAAACACTCCCGCTGATTTCAAGGTACCACGATGAGTCACTGAAGGCTCAGCGCGGAAGAGATGCTACCAATTGGCTGGGTGCCAGCTGGCTCAGGCACACCAATGACCGTGGGCAAGAGCTGGGTTGGAGGGGTGGTCTCAGATGTGTCCTGACTTGCTGGGATGGCTGGAAAGCTGAGACACACATGGTTCTCAGCTGACGTGGGCCTGCTTGAGGTCTTGATGGAGAGCCGGACACTTGGCTAGGTATGTCCCCCGACAGCTGCATGCTCTGGAGGAGGGAAAACTCTGCTCCCAGAGCACTAGGCACAGCCATTCTGTGGTGGCCCTGACCAGGGGGACCCCGGGACAGAGCCCTAGGCTTTCAAACAATGTCAAAGTTCAACTTGCTTTCGAGTCCGCATTTCTGCAGCCTGGAGCGCTGGGCCTGCTGAGTCGCAAGCTGCCTCTCCCATCGGCTGTGACCTTGGGTTTGCTGGGCCTGGGCAGTGTCTGTGCAGTGTCTATGCTCACTGCCCAGCCACCAATGTGCTGCAGGAAGTGTCTTCGTGGAAACTGGCTTTGGAGGCCCAGTCCTCCTTTCCCTGAGGTGAACCCTGCTGGGCCCCTCCCTCTGTCTCTCCCCTGTCGCTGTGTGCCTGGGAATCTACTGACACGCTTCCCTCCCCTCAGGCCCTCAGGTGAGAACATCTGCCCTGGCCCCCACAGGATGCAGAGTCCACCTGCTGGCCTCTGACCAGGAGCTCAGACTGGGCTGAAAGAGCAAATGCCTTTCTCCTTCACAGCCTGCAGCCTGTTCTCTGGCCTGCCCATACCCACCCACGCCACTCTGCCCCCACTCCATTCGCCGGCATAGTAGGGCTGGTCCCATAGCCATCCCCACAGAGCTGCCTCCTCCTGGGTTACAGGAGGTGCCATAACCGACTCAAGGGGCCCATGCTCACAGACATGGAGGTGTTTCCCAGGCTTCTGCTGCAGTGAACACCCTTGAACACTCACCGTGTCGCCCATGTATGTCTATAGTGGGAGGACACATTTCCAGCTGTGAGGGGAATCACTAGGTCAAAGATATGCACACTTAAGTTCTGAGGAGTGTTATTAAATTTCTCCCAGTTGACACTGCTAACAGCAACCTGGGAGAGGGCTTATTTCCCCACACCCTTGCCCATACAAGGTTATCAAACTGTTTAAACTTTGCCAAACTGACAGGTAAAAAAGTCCCTCACTGGAGTTTCCATTACTCTTATAATGAGTGAGGCTGCGAATTGTCCTCTGTATGGGTGATGATTTGAAGGAGGGAAAAAAGATGTGTGTGGCACAGAGGAAGTGGGGCACATAATCTGCTGGATGGCGGGGATGGGGGAGGACGAATATGGAGTCACTGCAGGTGAAACACAGGAGGGGTCTGTGGGTTCCTTGCAGCTGGCACAGCCTGTGCAACCTCTCCTGCACTTGATCTTCACTCAGGTGGAAGAGGCCAGAGAGAAGGAGCTGAGGCTGAGTCTGTGCGCTGTTGTGAGTGAGGAGGAGGTGGGAGGAGAGCCCAGGAAGCTGCTGGTGGGCAGCTGCCCCTTCTGGTTCTCCCCCTTTCCCTTCCCCGCATGTACACAGGCTGCTTACATGCCCTCCCCGCCTCCCAGGTACTTCTCAGCCCCCAGAAGGCTGGCTTCTGTTCCACTCCCTCCACTGTCTCTGTAGACACTCTCCTGTCTTTGCAAGGCCATGGATGACTTTAGGAAGAAAATAAAGGCAACTGGCTTTTGAACTGCCACATGACATGGGCAGCTCTGGGGAAGCCTCTCCCCGCTCCTGCCCTGTGGCTGCAGGTTCTGCATGCCTTTTGGGTGATTTTTTTATTGATTGATTGATTGATATACTGGTTAATGGATTGATTGATAGGGTCTTGCCCTGTCAGCCAGGCTGGAGTGCAGTGGCACGACTGTAGCTCACTGCAGCCTTGACTTCATGGAATCAAGCAATCCTCCCACATCAGCCTCCTGCATAGCTGGGACTACAGGCAAGCACCACACCACCCGGCTAATTTTTTTTTTTTTTGGTAGAGACAGGGTCTCACTATGTTGCCCAGGCTGGTCTGAAACTCTTGGCCTTAAGTGATCCTTTCGCCTTAGCCTCCCAAAGTGCTTGGGATTATAGCTTTGAGCTACCACGCCCGGTCATCCACATTTATTGACCTGAATAAAGTGTGCTGGACAAACTGTTCAGTGAGAAAAGCCAATTAAATAATCTGGAAGCATAGTCACCCAAATGTTATCGCTGGATTTTTAACATTTCAGGCAATTTTATTAGTTCCTTTTTCATATTTTTCTTCTTCACTTGAAATTTTTACAATCAGTATGTCTTATATCATAGCAACAGTAAGCAAAGCTATTAAAAGTAACCCCAGATGAATTATTTTCAATCCTGTGCCTTCAGTGTACCTAACCAGAAACCTCAAAATCCACTTTAATGACTTTAGTTACCTCCCTAACCTGCTCTGGGCCACCCAATTATATGGCTTCTGGACATTTTTTGAACCCTATTCCGAGGAGGAGCCCCTGCAGCAGCCTTCTGGGTTTGCTTGAGCTCCTGCAGGTTCTCACCCAGGAGGAAGGCAGCGGGGGTGGGGGGCAACCCGGTTTGAAAGGGGTGGTAGTGGGCTGCAAACCACATCGGCAGGTTGCTTTGCCTCACATTGACAAAATGTCTGTTGTCCAAGAATAGGGTAGTTGACAGAAATGAAGGGATCCCAAATCCTCTCTCCATTGAGTCATCAGTGCTCCTGTTCTCAGTTCATCTCTTCCAGTCTACCCTTCACTTACCTCTAGAAATATCTTTCTAAAACATAAAACTGTGCTGTTTAAAGCTAGCAGGAGGCTACTCATTCTTACAGGACTGCCTACCAGATGATCAAGATGCAGTGACAGCTCTGTACAGAGCCCTCCATCAAAGTTTAGTGAGTATCTCATATAAAAGGTGGCTGTTTATATGCATGATATACCACAGGAGAGATTTTTAAAGTACATAAATAACTAGACTATAAGCCTATAAATGACAGGTTCAGATAAGACAGGGATGGCAATGGGCAAGAATTATCGTGTTACAACTGAAAACTTCATAGAGGAGGTGGCATCTGTGCTGGGTCCTGCAGGCAGGATATACTTCTACAGTTGTTTTACTTTTTAAAGCATTCCATATGAATTATCTGATTTGATATTACTGACTCCTGGATATAGGTAAAGCAGATATTATTATGTTCATTTAAAAAATGGGAAACTGGGCCGGGCGCGGTAGCTTATGCCTGTAATCCCAGCACTTTCGGAGGCCGAGGCAGGAGGATCACGAGGTCAGGAGCTCAAGACCAGCATGGCCAATATGGCAAAACCACGTCTCTACTAAAAACACAAAAATTAGCCGGGTGTGGTGGCGGGTGCCTGTAATCCTAGCTACTTGGGAGGCTGAGGCAGGAGAACTGCTTGAATCTGGGAGGCAGAAGTTGCAGTGAGCTGAGATCGCACCATTGAACTCCAGCCTGGGTGACAGAGGGAGACTCTGAATCAAAAAAACAAAGGAAATTGAGCCTGCTGGAGGCTGTTGGATTTCCTCGACACTGGCACTAGAATATAG
This sequence comes from Homo sapiens, assembly GCF_000001405.40. Lineage (NCBI taxonomy): Eukaryota > Metazoa > Chordata > Mammalia > Primates > Hominidae > Homo > Homo sapiens. The sequence continues at coordinate 197,248 of NW_025791763.1, read as the reverse complement.
GACTTTGGGCGTTTATGTTGTAACTCTAAGGGTACAAGGACATGATTTCTGCCTTCTAGAAACTTGTGGTTGGGAATGGGACTCACACTTGTAATCGCAGCATTTTGGGAGGCTGAGGCAGGTGGATCACTTGAGCCCAGGAGTTCAAGACCAGCCTGGGAAACAAAGTTAGATGAGACCCCGTCTCTACAAAAATACAAAAAAAATTAGCCAGGTGTGGTGGCGCACGCTTGTAGTCCCAGCTACCCGAGAGGCTGAGCTGGGAGGATCGACTCAGCCCTCGAGCTCGAGGCTGCAGTGAGCTGTGATTGCGCCACTGCACTCCAGCCTGGGTGACAGAGTGAGACTCTGTCTCTAAATAAAAAATAAAGAAACTTCCAACTGATCTCGGAATCTTGGGATAGCAAATATGGGGCACAGGAGCAGTCCCATCCCTCCGTGCTTGTGGCAGACACTGCTAGTAGACCATGGCACTCTTTCTTGCTAAAGGTGGGTAAGACCTCAGAATCCTCAACACTGAGGCAGCTACTAACAGTTGATTAAAACTGACCTGTAAGGTGCAATCTATTTATTCTCTCTGATTTACGCCAGGAGGTAGATACAGATGTTCTGTCTGGTGAGAAGGAGGGGCAGAAACCAGGTCATAGAAGCATCTCTCCTGGCTGGCACAAAGCGGAACTCAGCTCCTAGACAGAGGTGAAGGCTTCACCAAGAATGTGACTAGATGGCAAAAACAGTCATAATTTGCAGAAAGTCCATTGACCAAAAGCAGGCCTGAGAATTCTAAAGTTTACGGACTTTCCCCTATGGGAGGAGAAGCTGGAAAGCATCCCAGGTATTGAGGAGAAAGGAAGCAGGATCTGTGTATAATCAGTGAGGAACAGGAAGCGCTTATCTGGGGCCAGTGAAATACTCAACACAAAAGAACAGCCAGGCAGCCTGGAGCTGCCTTCCAGCCACAGAGCTTCAAGGGTCTCTTAGAACCCTTCCCCGCGGCTCCTGCAGGCCCAGCAGCTGGCCAAAGTCAACAACTCCTGGGCACCGGGAGATGGGAAATGTCTGAGGAGGCCTCTCCATAGACGGGCAGTTCCAGGAGAGCTCTCCGACCCCACAGGTGAACAAGAACACAGGAGAATAAGGGTCACACCAGCCACCTCTATACAGGGCCATTGCTCCTGATAAAGGAGCCTGAAGAAGGGGTCCTGCACCCTACACTAGTGTGTATGCAAATGTGGGTGCACATGTGGCTTACATATCTCAGGGAACAACACGATTTTATGTCCATATTGAAGGGAGGGTGCAGGAAGTTATGACGGACAGTGGAAGGGCTGAGAAGTTCCCATCTCAATACTATTAAACAACACCTCCTATTTTTTAGTACCTAAAATATTTACATTAATCGGCCTTAAAATATTTAAGTATTTAAAATATTTAAGTATTTAAGCCAGTATTTTTGGCTGGGTGTGGTGGCTCACGCCTGTAAGCCCAGCACTTTGGGAGGCTCACCTGAGCCCAGGAGTTCAACAGTAGCCTGGGCAACATGGTGAAACCCTGTCTCTACAAAACACAACAAAACAAAAATGTATATATAGCCAAACAAACAAAATTATAAATACATATGTATGTGTATTTTTTATGTATGTGTATACACATGTATATACGTATACACAATTACACATGCATGTTACAGGCAAAGTTTGATATCTTGGATACTGTTGCTTACAGTGAAGCTCCATTTTTAAAAAGTGGAAAAAAGTGAATCAATTCAAAGAAAAATAATTATGTAAATAGTATAGGTGGTATGTGGCAAAGATTATGTGAGGAAGTGACATCCAGGGAATATGGTTGTAGGACTGCATGTTTGTGGCCATCCAGGGGCTACTGCCAGTTGTGGATGAGGGCACCCCTAGGAATTGGAGAAAGAGGTTCTGCACACAGACTCAAAGGTCAGAGCATCCCAGGACACACCACTATTGTCTTCCCAAATTGCTTCTCACCGAGATCTACCATCTCTCTCTTCTCATGTACCTGCAGGGTCAAAACCTCAGACATCTTTTCCTCCACCTTCTTCCTCACTTTGTCATCTAGCCCATCAAGTCCTGTGTTTTTTCAATCTCAACTACCACTGTCTTGCAATGGCTCCCTAACATTCACCTTGCCCCACACTCGTTCCTCCAGGTCGGTCACACACCCTGCTGCCCGCTGACTTTCCAGCTCACAGCCAGGCTCATTTCCTCGCTTAGCTTCCCCTAAGCTCTTTGGGGATAGGCATCCAATCTTTTTTTTTTTTTTTTTAACCTGCCGCTTCAGAAAGGCATCCAGGCTGGGCACGGTGGCTGACGCCTGTAATCCCAGCACTTTGGGAAACCGAGGAGGGTGGGTCACCTGAGGTCAGGAGTTCGACACCAGCCTGGCCAACATGGTGAAACCCCGTCTCTATGAAAAGTACAAAAACTAGCCGGGCATGGTGGCGGGCGCCTGTAATCCCAGCTACTCACGAGGCAGAGGTTGCAGTGAACCGAAATCGTGCCACTGCACTCCAGCCTGGGTGACGTGAGCGAGACTCCGTCTCAAAAAAAAAAAAAAAAAAAGGCATCCAATCTTATTCGCCCTTTGGGTCCCCACGGCCTTAAGCACAGCATATCATTTGTGAGAGGTGCTTGATGACTATTGCAGGGTGTTCTAGGATTAACCAAATTAGAGGTGCAAGTCCTTCTCTCTGGAGGTGCTGCCTCCCAGGCAGCTCTAGTGGAAATGTTGTCTGCAAAGGCAATTAGCGGTCACACTCCTGGGGTTGTTGCCACAGACCCTAATTTAGCTGACCTAGGGTGAGAACAGAGAAACCATCACCTTTTGGGAGAATGATGGATAGAGGGAATGGGAAAGTCCGCTGCCACTGGGGACCCTATCAGGTGAGTAAGACTCCATTTACCTAAAGTGATCAAATAAAAAACATTTACCAATATCATATCTGCTTCTATTTTTATATTTTCCCCTACAGTTAATACATTATTAAAAAACAAACAAAAACATTCTAATCTTTTGTAGCTGGGGGCCTTGATGCTGGGATTCTTCTGTTCAGCCCCACTGTGGAATACAGCACTTCTGAAATTCATACTCTGTTTGATATTAATATCATTTCAGATAAGCAAATAAGTATGTGCCAAAGCCAGGGACAGGAAACTGTCTGCATAAATCTTGGATAAACAGATTTCTTTAAAGAAAACATTTAGTGATGCGTTACCTTGTGCCAGATACTCCATGTGTTATTTCGTTTAACCCCCACAGCCTTATAAGTTGATGCTATTATTATCCTCATTTAACAGATGGAGGGATTAAGGTACAAAGAGGTTAACTAACTTGCCCCAGTCTATCCCAAACCCAAAAGCCAACTCTTTTTTTTTTTTTTTTTTGAGACAGAGTCTTTCCTCTGTCGCCCAGGTTGGAGTGCAATGGTGCGATCTTGGCTCACTGCAACCTCCGCCTCCTGGGCTCAAGTGATTTTCCTGCCTCAGCCTCCTGAGTAACTAGGATTACAGGTGTGCGCCACCACACCAGCTAATTTTTGTATTTTTAGTAAAGACAGGGGTTCACCATGTTGGCCAGGTTGGTCTTGAACTCCTGACCTCAAGTGATCCACCTGCCTCGGCCTCCCAAAGTGCTGAGATTACAGGTGTGAGCCACCATGCCCAGCCCCAAAGGCCAACTCTTTTTTTTTTTTTTTTTTTTTTTGAGACAGAGCCTCGCTCTGTTGCCCAGGCTGGAGTGCAGTGGCACAATCTTGGTTCACTGCAACCTCCGCCTCCCGGGTTCAAGTGATTCTTCCACCTCAGCCTCCCAAGTAGCTGGAATACAGGTGCACACCCAGCTAATTTTTGTATTTTTGTAGAGACAGGGTTTCACCACGTTAGCCAGGCTGGTCTTGAACTCCTGACCTCAAGTGATCCGCCCGCCTCGGCCTCCCAAAGTGGTGGGATTACAGGCATGAGCCACCACACCTGGCCAAGGCCAACTCTCAATCCTTTCATTATGCTAGTGCTGGAAGAGAAGAAAACATACCACTCCTGCAGCCCATCCTGGCACTCCTCAGATAAGGGCAGTCAGGCCCATGGGGTGAGCTGTCCCACCAAGGTCACGGAGGACACTGGCAGAGCTGGGATCAGAACAACCCAGGTGTCCTGGCCGCCAGCTACAGAACAGCTATGATGGATCAGGTTATTTTTTTTACAACACATAAACATAAAAATAATTGGAAGGGGATGAAATACTAATGTAAGCAAATCAATATTATAAATACCAATCTGAGAAGTCATAAAACACAACAAAAGAATACTTGTATTATTGAAAGTTTCAATATGGATAAGCCGTAAGGCATGCAGAGCATGCTCAACAGCTCCACACTGCCCCCTGGTGGTTCCCAAGTCCCCACCGGAAGCATGCTGGACCAATGACCAGCGGGAAACAAAGGCCCTGGACAAGGATACCTGCTGCACTGAAAACCCCAGGAGCCGGTGACCTGGTGGGCCAGACAACAAAGATCCTCCTGGGCTGGGCATCAAGCCGTCAAGGAAAATCTCTGGGTTCCACTCCCATTTGTTTGCAGAATTTGAGATAAAGAAGTTATGAACTCAGTAATGAGTTAACTACTTTTAGTCTCTCATGTTGGCAGTGGCCTTTTCCCCCTTTAATTACCACAGGCACTTTTTAATACCCTGGTGGTGGGAAAGTAAATTAGTAAATCCTGTCTTGTGCAATTTGGAAGTATGTATCAAGTCTTCTGAAGGCTTACTGTCTCTAGGAATGCATCCTAAGGAAATAATTAAGGATGCAAGCAAAATATAGCTGCAAGGATGTTCACTGAAGAGCTGTTTATAATAGCTGAAAGATATTAAATGCCTTATGCTGCAATTATGATATCTGAATTTATGTAGTAGGTGGTTATTTACAGAAACAGAAAGGTGTTTACACTGTTAAGTGAAAAAGCAAGATACGAAACATGTATTTCCACCTGTGTAATGGGGAGTGCTTAAAAAAAGAAAAAACATGTATTGAATCCTACTTTTACTTGTAATTTTGTAAAACAGGTATCTTTATGTATGTGTTGAGAAATCTGGAAGAATATACACTAAGAGGTGAGTTGAACTTAATCTCTCTGGGAGACAAGATTATGGGTGTTTTTATTTTATTCTTTTGGCTAAACATACATTGATTTTAAAAGGTAAATGCAAATATATGCAATGGGAATCACTTTTTAATTAAAAAAATTAAATATATAAAAACACTCAAAAAAAAAAAACCCAGTAAAGTCTATATTCAAATCTTCAGCCTCTCATTTCTGAACTTCTGAGTGCTGTTTTATTTTGAATGGGGTCTTGCCCCTGACAACCTTCCCAACCGTTCCCATTAGGGCCTGGAAAAATGTGACCTCAGCCGTTTGGAAGCCTTCAATGGTTCCTGGGCAACATACGCTGGGGCCAGTAAGTGCTGTGACTGCCAGCTGCACGAGTCCTTCCTTGGCTGAGGAAGGGTCCACTCTACAGCCCCGCCCTGGACACTCTCCTCCACTCTTTCCCTTCCAGAGGGATTCCCCTCTGGGGGAAGGTCTGGGCGCCAATTCAACCAGAGGAGACAACCCAGTCTGCTAGTTCTCAGATCTCACTGGCACCAGGGCTGCTGGGAGGAGCTTTAAAAACACTGATTCCTGTCTGCGTTCCCCATTATGATTTAACTCTTCCAGGGTGGGGCTTAAGCATCTACTTTTTTTTTTTTTAAGCTCCCAGGTAATATTAATGTGCGATCAGAGTGGTCCCCAAATGCTCACACCTACCCCTCCATAACTTTCTGTAGTTTCTACCCATTGTTTGGGCTTCTCTTTCAAAGATGACCTTCCTGGATCTATGGTCCTGTCTCTTTTACACTCTTCTTTCACAGCCCAGAGCAAGCATCCACCCACTTACCCATTAAACACTGTTTAGTGCTACTGTGTGCCAGGTTCATGGTTCTCCCCTACCTAAATCCTTGCCTAGAATACATATCTTCATTCCGGTGGATCCATTATAAGGCTCAAGGTGGAAGTTTCTGGTAAAAATGGAGAATCTATAACCTGACAGCAGCCCTCATAAATTAGCCATCACAAAGTGAGACAGGAAATGCCCACACAAGTTTCCTGATGGTTTATTGGACAAATTCAATATCATAACCCATATGCCATAAACACTCCTAACGGCGTTAGCACATTACATGCCTTCTTTCTGGGTTGGGAGAGGGGCTGCAACACATTCCCCCAACTCTCCAATCAAATCCAGGGCTTGGTCTTTATGGAATTTCAAGCATCCAGGCTAGGCTAGTTGGGTTAGGGAGGAGGGTACATTTCAGAGCACAAAGGCTCTAAAAACATTTCTCAAATCCCCTGTCACTTCCTGACTGACCTAGTAGAACACCAATTCTAGGCATAGCCTGTGCATGAAGTTGGTTACAGAACTTAACTTTCACAAGCAGCTGTTTGAGGACCGAGACTGGGTGGTGATCAGGTCTTGTTCAGGCCTGATGATGACCTGAAAATTCCACATCTTTGCCACTTCCTTCCTGAGCCCCCAGTTCCTATCCAGACTCTGAAACCCAATCACTGACCAGGTGACAACTCCATCTCATGTCCGAGGATTTGTGATGCATGCACAGCACCAGACTGGGTAGGTGTGGCCCATTTGAATACTTTTTTGTAAGTCCACTGGCCAAATTCTCATTTGATCCACCTTGATTTTCCATATTCCATTCTATCCATTCCTGGAGGTCAGGAGTACTCACGTAGTCACTCAGATACACGCTGAATTAAACTCCAAGTCATGGTTCAAATGGGTCATTGATTTCTTCCTCTTCAATTTCCATTTTTCCCTTCAAAGAAGGAAGAATGGGCAGGAAAAATCAGTGCAATTGGCTGGAGACCCACAGTTGGATGGGCCCTGTGCTGAGGCCGTCTCTCCCTTACAAGCTCTTTACAAAACCGTCAAACCCCCACTGTCAATGCCTCCACTCCCTCCAATCATTCGGCCCACTGCCACCTGCCTTCCACGTCACTGGCCCTGTTTTCGCTAAGGCCACTGCTGACCTCCTAACTACCAAACCCAATGTCATCTTCCAGGTCTTTTTCCTAAGAGGCCCCTCAGCTTCTGGGGCACCCTTTCGGCTGGTTTTCCACTTACTCCTCCAGCCGCTCCTCAGAACCTTGGCCTATGCCTCGAAAGCTGGTGTTCTCTGGGTAGTCTCCTCCTCCCCCTGCAGGTTGGCACCCACGCGGTGATCACGCTCATCTCTGCAGCTGGCTCCAGCCTTCCTCCTCATCTCCAAGTGCTTCCTTGACACCGTGCTACAGGCAGCTCAATCCCACACAGACTCATCAAAATCCAGCCCTGATCCTGTTTCCTACATCCTATCAACCAAGGCTCCTTTGAAAGTGAAAGGGAACACCTTTAACAATTATGATGGATGATGTAAACCAGGACATGCGGTCACCCTGAGTATTGTACAAACCTTGGGGATCATTCTGGCCTCTTCTCTTTCCCTCACTCTCTACAACTGACAGGGGACCAAGTCTTGTCATTCTAACTTGGACTGTCTCTCCAATTGTTCCCCTTCATCTCTGCTGCTCACTGCCCTGGACCTCTGTAAAGACTCTGAGCTGCCCTCCTGCCGGCAGCCCCTCCCCAGGCCAGCCCACCCTTCCTGTGATTGCATTACTTCCCCCCCTCCACCCTACCCCCAACAAAAGCTCCAGCGGTTCCCGATGCCTGCTCAGTGGGCATTAAAGCCCTGGCCTACCCTTCCCATCTCCAACTGCCTATTCCCAACAACACCCTCCATCCATTTTCTAGCCAGCCAATCATTCCATTCTCTGAGTGTTTCACTATTTATGCCCCCAAGTCTTTTGCCAAAAGGCTGCCATGCTTTTGCCAGTGACTGGACTACCACCCTGGGTACCTTTGGTCATTGGCCCAAGTGAAGGCAAAGGGCTGCTGAGGGACCGCAGCTTTCCCCAGTTGCACATGGAAAAGGTGCAACTGTCATGATGTAGATGACACTCTCTCCTTCTCCCTCTCTCTCTCTGAGGCCCTTCTTTCTGGAGTTCCATAGCCACTGGCCTGGCCCAAGTTTGGGGTAGGGGTAGGGTATCTGAAGCCACTGCAGTAGCAAGTACCCTGTGTTAGCCTCTAGTTCCCCGCTCTTGGGTGTCATTTCTTCCCGGGTCCATGAGTAGCCTTCCAAAGGGAATCTGCTGGAGAACTTATTGGAGGATGGCATCAGGCTCCAACTCTAGGGACCACAACCCATATGCTTGTTCTCTAATTGCTTTCAGAGTTCCGGAGAGACCCTGTGAGTTCCTGGGTATCCCCCATGTATATGATGGGGAATTCATTCTGCTGGTTTGATCTCTTTTCCTTTGGGCAACATCTTTAAAAAAAGTCTTCCTTGGAGACTTCAAACCTGGATCTTTAACAAGTCCTTGATGAAATGCTTGGAAATGCTCGTGTTTTTACCCTGGACTTGACAGCAGCCTCTACAGACTCCTTTCTCCATATTCTGCTTGGCTTGTCAGAGGCCAGAGGGATCCAAAAGAATTCCTCAGGGGAGGAAGCCCTAAGCCTACATCTTATTCTTTTTAGTTTTTTTTTTTTTCTTTTAAGAGACGGTGTCTTGATTCTGGAAGTTGCTCTCAGAGGCAGCGTGCGGGTGTGCTCTTTGTGAAATTCCACCATGGCATACCATGGCCAGGGCCAGAAAGTGCAGAAGGTGAAGATGCGCCCATCAACCTCATCTTCAGATACTTACAAAATAGATCGCAGATTCAGGTGTGGCTCTATGAGCAAGTGAATATGCGGACAGAAGGCTGTATCATTGGTTTTAATGAGTATACGAACCTTGTTATTAGATGATGCGGAAGAGATTCATTCTAAAACAAAGTCAAGAAAACAACTGGGTCGGATCATGCTAAAAGGAGGTATTCCTCTGCTACAAAGTGTCTCCAGCTAGAAATGATCAATGAAGTGAGAAATTGTTGAGAAGGATACAGTTTGTTTTTAGCTGTCCTTTGTCCAATATGAACATTTATTCATATTGTTTTGATTACCCTTATGTTATTACAAGATGGCAATAAATGCTATGGGATTGTTTGTCTTACAACAAAAAAAGAGATGCTGTCTTGCTCTGTTGCCCAGGCTGGAGTGCAGTGGCACGAACATGGCTCACTGTGGCCTCCTGGGCTCATGCGATCCTCCCACCTCAACCTCTTGAGTAGCTGGGACTATAGGCACACATCACCACACCCAGCTAATTTTTTTTTTTAACAGATGGGATCTTGCTATGTTGCCCAGGCTGGTCTCAAACTCCTGGCTTCAAGAATCCCACTGCCTCAGCCTCCCAAAGTGCTGGGATTACAGGTGTGAGCCACCACGCTTGGCTTCTTTTTAGCTTTGACAACATCTACTTCAACTCACCTGATTGCTTAGGCTGGGTTTTGGTTACAGCTAAGGCACAACTTCTTGTCCTTAACAACCTTTGTCAAGACACATGCTTGCTGGTGGAATCATGTACAGTCTCCACTTCACAAAGTCCTCTTCCAGGCATTGTCCAGGGAGGTATCCTTCGTGAGCACACACATGCTTCAAATCACAAACATGAAAATGATCTTCCTTTTAATGCCTGCTTTAAACAGCAGCCACTGGAGGTGGAGAATCCAGAGGTCTGGCCTGTGTAATACACTTCGATAGAAACCATGCCCTTGTGTACAGGCCTACGGGCCTTGTTATTATAGTTAACTTTTATGGTGGGTTTTAGGGGCTGAAAAAATTCTACTAATATTATTGGAAATACATTTTATAGCTTTGGCTATGAAATACCACACACACACACACACACACACACACACACACACACACACACACACACCAGCAATAATTGAGGAAGTAATTGAAAACAAATAACACTTGAGTATATGTGCAAATTCTACACAGGTGACTGCAAACCACAAAGATACTAATGAGAAATGGCAGACAGGTTCTTGGCAGGTAGGATCTCACAGGACGTGTGCAAGGCCTGTCACAGTAGATATGATAACTGAGGGAGAGCAAATTCTCAGTCATTGTAATAAAACCAAATCCCAGAAGAACTTCTTTTACATCCCAGAGTGGAGGACAACTATTTTAGGATGTTGCTGCTTGGACACACCTGTTCTATCAGAAGGGGCTGAGTATGTGATACTGAGTTTTCTTTTTTCCTTCTGTATCTTTTTCCCCTTTGTATCTGTGGTACACAGTACAGCACATTATTCAACATATGTTCATTAAATGGCCACCGAAACATCTTTCACACGGGTTAACAAATGGCCAGGCCTCACGTACAAGGTCTATTTGTCTGTTTTTTTTTTTTGAGATAGGGTCTCACTCTGTCACCGGGGTTGGAGTGCAGTGGCACGATCTTGGCTCACTGCAGCCTTGACCTCCCAGGGCTCAAGTAATCCTCCTACCTCAGTCCCCACCGGGTAGCTGGGACTACATGCACGCACCACCATGCCCTGCTAATTTTTTTTTTCCTGTATTGTAGAGACGAGGTCTCACTATGTTGCCCAGGCTGGTCTCGAACTCCTGGGCTCAAGCAATCTGCCCGCCTCAACCTCCCAAAATGTTGGGATTACAGACATGAGCCACTGCGTCCGGCCACGTACAAGGTCTCTTTAAATGATGAATTGGAAACATCAGTATTTCTTCTTTTGCTTAAATTCCAGTCCCCTGCCAACGTACACTGCCATACCAAGATTAAATAGAGAAGGGCACCCAGAAGCATCTGGTTCGCTGTAAGCACTTGACAGCTATCAGCTATGATCATCATTTCTTCTTGCTGATGTTACTGTAACATTGTGGATGAAGCAGTGTTTGCCTTAATCAATGGGGGCGAGTTTGGAAGGCCTGCCCTCCAGGGATGTCTTAGTTCCAGGTGCTGCAATTTGCAGTCCTGGAAATGGAGAAAGGAGATAAGCCTGCAGTTTAGTGCCAACTGTGAAAGGTCAGTTGTGGGGGAGGCTGCTGGGGGCCTCTTGGGAGTTCTCAGAGGCCCTCCCCTCACATATGCACAGTATCTGGTGTCCCAGCCACCAAGTTCTGGAGACCTCCAGAATGATCGGAAGCTTCTGCAGGGTCCAGCCAGTGCTCAGGAACACTCACGGCCCTCCTTTTTCCTTTCCTCATTCAACATCCCCGCATTTCAAGGCTCTCTACCAGCATTTCTTTGTTCATTGTTCAGAAAAAAATGAATCAAGCCATGACTAGAGGCTTGAATTCAACTTTAAAAAATTGTATGGCTCAAAGGGTCTCTATCCAAGTTTTTCCCAAAAGATTATTCTCCAAGGAAAAAAGAAAACAAAATGGCTAAATCGCAACATTTTTTCAGTCTCCATTATCCCACGGCTCTCTTTACCCCTTGAGACACACAATCTTCAATAGTAAACAGGGCTGAAGTTTGAGGGCAAGGCCTAGAGAAGCTGTTTAATTTCTACCCCAAAGACAAACTCAGATTCTTTCACAATTTTCCCTCAGGCCAGCCCTCTGCTTTATAGGGCCAAACCACTGAAAGAACAAATGAATGCGAACAATTTGCCTCCCAGCAGCGAGCACTAAGATTTCCTACAGATACGAATTCCCAAGCAAACCCTGCCCAAAGATAATACAAATGAAGGTTGGGTTTATCGGGCTTTTTAAAGGGTGGCTGCCTGATCTTCTTTAGGATCTGAATATGTTTACACGGGGATTGGCGGGGCGCTTACTGACAGAGCAGTTTTAGAAAACAAACACAGGCCCCAGAACACTCATCAGTCTGCAGCGGCTCGGCCGCTCATTCCACAAATACTCACTGTGCATCCACCATGCGCAGCCACTGTGTGTGGTGCTGTGGGGGACAGAATGACAATGTGTCTTGGGAGGTGGCCTCAGCTATAGGTAGGGAGGACAGGGCTTCTGTCCCAAATGGTAAATGTCATAGAGTGGGGGTGTCACCGAGTGTGGGGGTATTACAGAGTTAGGCCAAGAGGTGGGATCTGAGGTAGACCTCGAAGAGTACAGATGGCAATTTCCACAGGGCAAGGCTCTATTCTAGAACCAACGTATTCATGTTAATAAATAAGCAAGGGTTTTGAACTGAAAGGACCTACGACACTGTTTTCCTAAAGACGCCTTCGGAGGCGGGCATGGCTACAATTTGTCTTAAGTCTCAGGGGTCAGTGATGGTCACCCACTGGGGAAGGAAGGGCATGCAGACAGCCCCCCCAACCCCAATATCTGCAGGGTTTGGGACAAGAACATAGATGCAAGCCCATACGCTTACACATGTAAAAGTTATAACTCAAGCTGACAAACTGTTAAATACATTCTCTCCTCCTCCCTTGACAAATATGAATGCTACGAAAAGGCCAGGCTCGAATTTAGAATTCCCAGACTCCTGGGTTCTGTACCAGAATGCGGTGGTGGTAAGAGAGCCTGATCTGGCACCCCCACCATTCCCAGTTCCATCTTGTCCTATGAGGTCTTGGGACCACACATGGAAACATCCCAGACATCTCAGCACCCCCATCAAAGCTCAGCCCCAGGCAAACGCGAGCCCCCTATCTCAACCTATAGGTGTGCACACCAGTGGCTTGGTGCACGTCCAGGGAAGAGTCAGGCAGGCTCTCAAGCCTCAGGATCCCATTCTTTGGATCCTCAGCTCCGTGGATTCCTGGCCTGGTCAGGAAGGAAGTGGTCAGGGTGGTCAGAGCAGGGCCCTCCAAAGTAGGGTCCAATGCAGGCCCCCCCTGCTCAGGTCTAAGGGTACAGTGTGCACAGGCAAGGATTTGGCTCACTGGACTGTGAGGCACACTGTGTCGTGTGGTTTTGATTATGATGATACAGGCTAACCTTTATCCCAGATAATGAATACAACATTAGTCTGGTTTCCACTTAATCCTCATCAGCCCTACTGAGTTTAGTATTGTTGTTATTCCCATTTCACATATGAGGAAACTAAGATTAGAGAGATTTTAATTTATCCAAGGCCACACAGCTAGGGGTTGTGGAGCCAGGATTTGACTGTTATACTGAGTCTCATGGCCTAAAAATACTCAGAGGAAAATCATTTCCTGATCCCGAATCATGGAAAATCAAGAGCCGGAAGGAACCATGACATTCATAATGTGGAACCCTCACTACGTGGCGGGAGGGGGCAGGTAGCAGAGGAGAAATCCAGGGTCCTGATTCCGGGGCAGTCCCCACGTGGGCAGCAGTGTGTCCCACAGAGTTCAGGAGGGCAGCAGCACCTGGTGGGTATGCTGTGCAGTGGGCGTGGGCTCCCCAGGGGATGCAAGGGGAAGCCAGTCAGGGTCAGGCAGGGCCAGAGCAGCCCCGTGGGCATGTGTGGCCAGCAGCTGGCACCACAGCCCTCTGTGAGCTGAGAAGGTGACCTCACTCCAAGGGGGGCCCTTGGAGCTATTTTCTAAAGCTGCTGCCTTTGATGCTTTCTTCAAATCCCATGAGCAAAGTGGCAAACTTGGGTGGGGAAGCCCCAGAATCTGGCTGCTGTGCAACTTCATTCTGTTTCCAAACAGCGGTGTGGGAGCTCAGCGCCCACTCCAGTGGGCAGTCCGAGGATGCCCTGGAGCTAAGCCGGGGAACCTGTTCTTCCTCCCTGCAGCTGTGCTGGACAGCCAAGGCCTTGGTAGGTCAGGAAGGAGGGATTTTTCTTTTTTTAAATTAATTTAAAATATTTAAAACTAAGGTGTAATATGTATACATAAGCAAGTACACAAATCTCGTGTGCGGCTCAATGAATCTTTAAGACAGGATTTTGTTCTGTTGCCCAGGCTGGGGTGCAATGGCTCAATCAGAGCTCACTGTAGCCTCGAACTCCTGGGCTCAAGCAATCTTCCTGATTCAGCCTCTCGAGTAGCTGAGACCACAGGCATGTGCCACTACAGCCAGCTAATTCTTAAAACTTTTGTAGAGATGGGGGTCTCACTACGTTGCCCAGGCTCTAGTGAATTTTTAATATGTAATTTTTTTTTTTTAAGACAGAGTCTCACTCTGTCACCCAGGCTGGAGTGCAATGGTGCGATCTCAGCTCAGTGCAAACTCTGCTTCCCAGGTTCAAGTGATTCTCCTGCCTCAGCTTCCCGAGTGGCTGGGATTACAGATGCCCGCCACCACACCCGGCTAATTTTTGTATTTTTATTAGAGATGGTTTCGCCATGTTGGCCAGGCTGGTCTCGAACTCCTGACACCTCAGGTGATCCACCCACCTCGGCCTCCCAAATTACAGGCATGAGCCACCAAACCTGGCCCAATATGTAAATATCAATGTAACCACCAGCCTAGATCAAGATGTAGAATGTTTTAAATTGATTATAAGTTGCAGAAGCAATGCATGAACACACTCTCCTTGTAAAGCATTAAAACATGAGCTGTGAGCCGACCCCTCCCAGTGTCCCGCCTACACACACAAGGCCCCACTGTTATATGTAATTGATTGTGTGTCCGGAAGCAGGGGCTTCCCCCTAGGCATTCCCAGGCCTCTAGGCAGCTGAGCAGCCTGACCCAACAGGTTTAGGGTCTTTCTCCTTGAACATTCTCTTCTGCCCATTCCCTTCCCCCACCCAAATCCTCCAACAGAGAAAGAGCCTGTGGATTTGGATAACACAACTGCCTCGCTGAGCTTCCTCCCTCCCCATCCTTACAACTGAAAGCGGTCTGACTCGGACGCTTCTAAGCTGTGGCTGCAGAGAACACAAAGAGCAGCCTTCGGCGCGCGGACGCACCATCGATGTACTGGGTTGGGGCGGGGGGGACGCCAACCGGCCCCAAAGCACATCGAAGCCAGAAACTGCCCGAACTAGTTACATTCCAGCAAGATTAGCACAAGGCCGGGCCTGCTCCTGCGCCCACCCCTCCTCCCCTCCTGAGCCATGAATAGGATTTTTAACTATTTCCCTCCCACTTGCTGTCCAGCCTCACACATGGACAATGCTCCCCGCTGTTTGCACATTAACCTCCCATTTGCCAGGCAGCTTCTCAGGGGCTGCAGATTAACATCCACCAACTCAGACAATCATCCCCGGGGAGGGGTGCAAGGGGCTCAGACAAAAGCTACAGACACTGAGCCCAGTCAATCACCGCACAGTGACCACTGGCCAACAGTGCAAGGGACTCCTGGACTCCAGACACACAGGAATCACCACAGGCGGCTCATTCCTGGCTCTGGGCACCTGCCCCACGTGGGACCAGAGAGGATACTCCCCTAATGCAGGCCTACAGCAACCAGAAGACATCCTCCCCACCCCATCTAATCTGGGACATTCTGGCCTAGGAGGGGCCCGAAAGGATCAGGGACTGAAGGGCTGGGAAGGCAGAGGGCAGCCTTAGGCAGGCCTCGCAGACCCAGCCCACCCTGTTTAGGCTTCTCCTTTCTCCCGGCAAAGCGGAGCTCTCAGGGGACAGAACAGGAAGCAGGTGCCTCAGGCCCCTGCCCTGGGGCTCCCTGGGAAAGCTGCCTGGTCTCTCAGCAAGAAGGGCCCCTGACTGAAGCAGCTTGTAGACATGATTCCATACATCAAAGCCATTTTCCTATTCCCTTGTGTGCAGGTGTGCACACAGGCATGAACTTGGAAACACAACAGCATGTAGGGGGGAGGGAATGGGGAGACAGCTGGACTGTGAGGTATGGGAATGGTCCTTCTATGTCCTAGGCCAGCAGCTCAGCCCCTGCATTTGTATTAAAAATCTCCTCCAGGTGATGCTCATGCACCCTGGTCCTGAACCAGAGGCCCTGGAAGTGAACAATCGCATGCATTAGCTGAGGATCCTGTTAAGATGCAGTCTGGGTCAAGAGGTGTGTCGTGGGGCCCAGGATGGTAAGTTTCTAACCAGCTCAAGACACACTCTTGAGGCCATCTCAGTGAGGCCTCAGACTGGGCGCATCATCAGAAGGGCGATCTCTCTGTATGCTGCTTCACCAAGTAGTTGTCTGGCTACAGTTTCCACCCTTCTCGAGAAAGGTCACCACCTCTCAAGACAGCCAGTTGCAGCTGCGGACAGCTCTGTTTGAGTCCTTCCTCATATTAAGACATCCAACAGTGACAATCTGAAGTCTTTCTTCTCTTGACCTGGTAGTTCCAGACCCTCAGAAGACCTTGTGGCTTCCACTCGTGTTTTCCCCACATACCTGTGCCTCCTCATCTAGGCCAGTGAGGCTGTTTTTCTGAGCTTCATTCTCTTCTTAGTACTAATGCCAGACAGGGTGGGGGCAGGGGAGCAGATCTCAGTGCAGATTGGCGAGGCTATTTGGGTAGGAGTGAGAATAGAGCCCCCAACGGAAACAGAAACCAGAGTTCTAGCCTGGAGCAGTTAACATACAAGAAACTTAAGGACAATTAAAAAGCAACAACCACAATTAACGTGGTTTACACAGGCAAAACTCATTAATGTGGATCGGGGTGCTGGAGTTTACCTTTGCTAGGCAAACCCTTTTTACAGACAGTACAGATTAATTGCAAGCAAGACTCCAAGGGGAATATCTAAATGGCTATGAAACAACCTTCAAGCCCCCCCAATGCAGGAAAAAGCACCACTGACCTACAAGGGACACACAGAGGACTTCGTCCAGGGAGCCCCCTTGCCAGTCTGGCTTCAATTCCTGGTGAAGTTCAGAAGCAATAAACCTGTGCTCCTTTTGAAAGGTTTTATAATTCAGAAGACCCCCTAATTCACACTAACATCCACCCCAAGTCTGAATTAATTGTGTTACCCAGCAGTTCTGCTAAGGAATCACTTCATCATCACTGCTGCAGGGAAAATTTGAGCGGGGCCGATGGTTTGCAGTGGCAGCAAGTCTACAAATGATTATCCCTAATGAGATGATGCGAGAGCAGCCTCAAATAAGGCACTCCTCCAGCTGCCCCGTGCCCAGCTGGGCTTCCTGCCCTCCCACCCGCTCCAGGCCATGAGCCCTTCATGGGGCTCTCATGGCAAGAGGGGCCTGGATCTTCCAAAGGTGAAACCATCCCAAAGACCCAAGGGCTCCCACTCAGTCTCCTGCTGCCACTCCCTGCCCCACTGCAAGGTCACACATGACAGTGGGGTCTGGCTGAGCTAGGACTGAATCCTGACTGTACCCCTTACCAGTTGTTACCTTGATCTAAAGTTAATCTTTCTGAGCCTCAGCTCCCACATGTTGAAAAGGTATTAGTATAATCCAGTTCCTAAGATTGTGTGGTGGTTTAACTGAGTGAACGCTTAGCATGCACAGGGCCTGGAGTAGGTAAACTCTTACGATGGTAGTAAAAAGGAGGAAGATTTCTTTTAAGGACAGGGAGATGGCCCCTCTTTCTTTGAGGCTCCAAAGCTCACTGTTCTTCTGTTGTGACACTAACCTTTCCCTGCCTTGAGATCAGTTCCACTACTTGTGTTGTTGCTCTGGTGGACCAGGAAACAGACAGTTCCTATATAAGGTCATGGCCCCACTCATCTTTTACTTACCTACTGCAACGTTCAACCCAATCCTTGCAATTAGTAGGAACCTGATCAATATTTCTGCATTGACTTGCCAGCATGAACCAGCCTACTCAGGACAAAGCATGGAGGTCGTAACCAAATGGGTCAAACAGCCAACAGACCAGACCTCCCCGCCCCCGCCCCTGTGAGCAGGTTTCTGACCTTACGAACAACAGCAGTTGCGTTTAGGTAAAACGACAATCACACTTCTGACTGGCTGTCAAACTATTCATGAAAATGGCCACCAACTTCCTATTTTTTAAATCAAACACTAAGCCATATGTCTGCTACACAATGAAAAATCCCAAACCTATGTGGTTTAATAGGCTTTCCAACATTTCTTCAGAAGCCTAGATCTCTAACGTTTACATTTAAGGTGACACTGGCTCACGGTCTGTTGTTCCATAGTCTTATTGCACTGTTTACACATCCTACCTCATTTTTACAGAAATGGGTCATTAGGCCAGGGACCACCTTCTTCCATGTCATGACATGCTTTGGTTGGGAGTGGCGAAGGTCTAATTTTAGGCCGTCTGAGAAAGGGCCTAAAATTTCCTAAAGTAAAGCAATAGAGATCAAGTTTTTAGGTTTTCTGAGGTTTTAAAACCAGAAAGCCATTCTGTTTCCTTGAGCTGCCATCCATTCAACCCTAGAAGTTGCAGCCTGCCGTTCTGGGCTCAGAGAAGGGAGGACTAATGCTCAGAACAGTTTCCCTGGGGAGCTGGATACTAGGTGCTGAGGTTGGGCTCCCTGGCAGGCACAGGCCTCGGGGAGCTTGTGGTAGGGGCTGCTTGGAAACCACACACTTACTCTACTCTGATGACACTGTTTGTGTGCAAGCATTTCTAGACTGTTCTTTGGAAATGGGCTGTAGAAAACATTCATTCCTTCAAAACACACCGCTCTTTTGTGGTCTTTTATTTCCCCCTTCTTGGCTTTGCTACTCTCCTGGGAGTCAGAGGCTCCCCAAACTCCCAGGGAAGGGATCTCTTTTGGAGAGGCCATGCAGAGGGGTCACACCGAGGCTTGGGTCACACCGAGGCTTGGGTCAGGGTAGTAGAGTGATAGCAAATGCTCATGTGGAATTGTCTGCCTGAACGGGTGGCTATAAATTATCACAGGGTATAACTGCCCGAGACCACGTAGGTGAATTATCTACAAGTCCTGCGAATGCTCAGGACTACAGCTGCCATGAATATGGCTTCAAAATAAGTTTCCTTAGATGAAAACAACTGAGAGGCCAGAGGCATCAGCTAGCCTGTGGGGAGGATGTGGGAGGACCACCCATAGCCTCAGTTTCCCTGGGTGCACCACTCACTTCCCTCAGAGTCCTTTCTGTGATACCTGCCTCCCCCAGCCCTCTTGTCACTGTACCACCCAATGCACACACAGCAGCAGAGAAGCATCTGGAGTGTGAGTGTGTGTGTTTTGAGAGAGGATCTTACTCTGTTACCCAGGCTGGAGTGCAGTGGCGCAATCACAGCTCACTGAAGTCTCGACCTCCTGGGTTCAAGTGATCCTCCCACCTCAGCCTCCCAAGTGGCTAGGATTACAGGTACGTGCCACCACGCCTGGCTAATTTTTTGTATCGTTTGTAGTGATGGGGTTTTGCTGTGTTACCCAGGCTGGTCTCAGACTCCTGAGACTCAAATGATCTGCCTGCTTCCGCCTCCCAAAATACTGGGATTACAGGCGTGAGCCACTGCACCTAGCCTAGAGTGTCTCTGAATTGCAATCGGAATTTGAATGGGAAACTGTCAGCTAGTTTAAGGGGCAAGCAGTAGGTAGCTTCTTGTCACATTTTCTCAATCAGATGCCAGTCACAGGGAACTATCAAAAAGCGGCGATTTACAAGAGTGACCTGAATAGATGCTCTGGTCTGGTCTCTCTCCTTCAGCTCTTATATCCAGCTGGTCCCTTCTGTCCTGAAGAGGTAAACAGCCTCAAGCGGGGCCCAGAGACTTGGGTTCTAACTCGACCCCAATTAGCAGTGTGATGACTTTAGGCAGGTCCTTTCCCCTTGCTGATCACAGCTGCTAGAAAAAGCCTTTATGGAAACAAACATGTATTAGACCCCTACTGTTTACACTATATACTGTACACAATAAAGGCAAAGGCTTTTTATTTCTTCCTCACAAGCTTCTCTTTGTGTGCATAGAAATGAGTGCTGATTATCATTTAGACATAATAATATCCGGATATGGGTCATTAAGCAGGGCAGTGACCTACCCACTTGGTCCACTGACCTATTCTTGGTTATTGCAAAACATTATTCAGACAGCAAGATAAATTGGTTAATTTTTCTTTCCACTCCTAAATTGTTAAATTAGTTACAGCAAAAAACAAAACCCAAGTAAACAAACCACACAAACCTCCTAAATACAAAGTAGGGCCCTGATCCTGCCATCTGTTTAACTCCTAAATATAGGCTGGTTTATCTCTCTCCCACCTTCTGGTGGCCTCAGGCCATGTTCTCAGGCCTCTAACTCTTAGCTGCTATTTAGAATCCAGCTGTTAATTACTTATTTAACACCTTTTTGCTGCTCAGTCTGAACACTAAGCATTCTCCGAGACTACAGTTTCTCCTTTGCCTTTCTTTAGTGGCTCTGAAAGGTCTCTCAAAGGTTATCTGTCCTCAAGATGTGCCTAATTCTGTGCATTCAGGGCTTTCTTTGCAGGGGACGGCACAACTTGGGAGCTTTTAACATACACGAAACACAAAATAGTGTAATACAAAGCTAGCCAGGCTTATTAAAAATCTCATTTTTCGGCTGGGCATGGTGGATCACGCCTGTAATCCTACCACTTTGGGAGGCTGAGGTGGGTGATCATTTGAGGCCAGGAGTTCGAGACCAGCCTGGCCAACATGGCGAAACCCTGTCTCTACTAAAAATACAAAAATCAGCCAGGCGTGGTGGCCGGCGCCTGTAATCCCAGCTACTCAGGAGGCTGAGGCACGAGAATCGCTTGAACCCGGGAGGTGGAGGTTGCAGTGAGCCGAGATAGCACCACTGCACTCCAGCCTGGGCGACAGAGCGAGACTCTGTCTCAAAAAAAAAAAATTCTCACTTTTGAGCTAGTCTATGTTTAATATTTAATATATTACCGAGTGCTTTTTTAAAAGGCCCAGTTACCAATTCCTGTGTGTGGCAAGGTGAGAAGGCCAGGGGTGATGGGTGCCTTATGGCTTTGGTCTATTGCAGATGCCTTCCAGTAGTGGACCAGAGCAGCTGGCACTGGTGTACTGGCATCTCCTTCAAACTCAGTGTTCAGTGATGTCACGTTGGTAGCTTGAAATCAGCCACAGGGAGAGTATTTACATCATGGAAATTGGCAAACACTAATCAGAGCACAATCCTCCCCACCAGGAGCTGACTGTTAAATATTTACCAGTACATCACTGCTTATAACCCATTTCCCCACTTCTCTTTCTATCATTAATTTAAAGGACTCATTTATTGGGCACACAGTCCACTGCATTAGACACAAATGCTACAGAAAAACAACAATAACAAATGTTACCTTTCTCTGTCCCTATGTCTTTGTCTATGTCTTTACACTGCAAACTCACTTAATCCTCAGAACAACATAGTGGGATAAAGAAATAATGTTATCACCTTTTCACAGATGAGGAAACTGAGGCACAGAATGGCAAAACCTTGCTCATGGCTGCAACTGATGATGCTTCCAGACCCAGAACTGAGGGCTTTTCCCCACCCCACAGAGCCCATGGGTTTTCTACTCTCCCAGGAAAAGGCCTGGATGGAGGCCCAGTGTGCAAAAACTCAGGGATATGTTCCACCAGAACTAAGACTCAAGAGCAAATGAGTTTTATGGAGGCTTTGTACCAGGAAGGGTTCTTAAGGGAGACAGTTGTGCAGGCTGTGAGGAAGGTTCCGCAGACCCCCAGAAAAGCAGGTGAGTGGCAACTGGGGTCACCTTGAGAAGAGGGGTTTTGGAGTACAACAGGCCCCTTGGCCTGGTACACTTTATCAAGGCAGAAAAATGCCTTCCACTTCTGGAGGGAAAAAAAGGAAAGAGGCACAGGATGCAATTAGGAAAGAACAAACATATCCTCAGATTCTCACAGCTGAACAACTAGGGAAAACCCAGCCTGTAAACAATCAAAAACTGGTGTCGCCAGAGCAAATACCCAGGACTCTGCTCACCCATGCAAGGGTAACTGCACGAGAATCGGGGCCCACACCAGCACAGGCCAGCGAGGGACCACTTTTTCCTTAGCAGTAGCGGCAGTGGCAGCAGCTGGTTCTCCTGCTGGGTTCCCAGATGGAAATTCCAAAGGGAACTACTTTCTGCATTCAGCACACAGAGAAAAACTGCAACTAGTGAAAAGCAAAAACTAAAATTTCAAATGCTACTTTGTAGAATGCAAACAGTCATAGTCTGCCAACAGACATTAGGCTAGGTATTTCCTTATGATACTTACAAGAGACGGAAAACCAAGTTCACTCCCCCTTTCCCTACTTCCTCCTGTTTTTTTTTTCCCTCCCCAAGGGAATGAGTCAAGTCAGTCAACAAGTATTTATGGAGCACCCACAGGATTGCAGAGTCTGGGAGGAGGCACGGGTTGCTGGAAGAAGCCCAGGATAGCTCTCATTTGAGACAGTTAAAGGAAATGTCAATCCTCAGGCCAGGTCTAAACAGGGCAGTGAAGAACTGACTGCCACCTGGGTGGGTTTATTCTGGACCAATCACTCACTCCTGGCTGAGCTGCCTCTGTTATTGGCAAGGTTATCCACCAAAGTGGGTGGATCAGCTATGTTCATGTACATTTTTGGAAAACTACAAGCACAACGCTAGCAATCTTGATGGTTTAGGGGGTGGGAGTTGGTGGTTGGCTGAGATACTCTTCTTCCTCCCTCCCAAAAGGCCCCACAACGATAAAAATTAAACAAATGTTGTCAGGTGTTCACCATTTCTCCTCTGCAAATGTAAGTGTGTATAAGTGGGACGGGAAGGCTAGCAAAACCCAGGGCCCATGGAAACAGCCTCCTGGGGGCCTGTCCGCTCTAGTTTGGAGACTGGGTTGTATTTATTTGGCTGCAGATCCTGCTACTCCAAGTGTGTTCCCTGGACCAGTACCATCAGCACTATGTGGAATTGTGTTAGAAATGCAGAGTTCCAGGCCCCACGACAGCCCTACTGAAGTAGAATCTGCGTTTACACAATCTCTTCAGACGGTTCCCATGCATGGGTGAGTTGAAGAAACGCCAGTCCCAAAAACCAAGCAAGTGTTTGTTATTAAACCCCAGAGAGCCCCCAAAGTCACATTTGGGGAACATGTGCCTTTCATATTGCAGGGGGGCAGTTAGCTCCCTAGATTTCCTGTTCACAGAAAGCAAATACCAGTAAAGCCTAAAGATTTATAAATCTATTATAACTCCTGGTTTAAAAGTAGGTACCTGGAAGGACCCAGGTCAGTTGCACATTATTCAATCACCATAGGAAGATATATTCTTGGAGCTAACAGAACCGAACACTACCGGCCACAAGGAGTCTTTTCACATCTACATTACACTCAACTAACTGCATGCTGGCCTAGATTCGCTTCTGTTTTAAATATCCAAGCTATGTTTGAATAACCTGTATGGTTACAATTAGGATCACTGCATCTGGGAAAGTCACCGCAAACCCCCACACATAAATACGGTGATTTTAATAACAAATAACACATTTGGAGGCTGGTATATAAGTATGCAGGCAGAGGAAGCCACTGAAGATGTTAATTTGCATGTTCACAAAGAAATGGAATCCAGCTGCAACGTTAATGCTTAATTCTACAGAGCCATAGGACACCCGCGCAACCTTACCATGGGCATGCTCTAAATTTAAAGCCGATTTTCAAACCCTCACAATTTTGGCAAAAACCTCAATTCAACTGCTTAAGGAGACTGGATTTTCTGTGAATCCTAAAATAGTGCTAGCAGAAAAAAGTCCATTTGTTTAAGTTTTGCAAGTTAAAGACAAGTATCTGAATTGATTTGATGCAAAGGTTCTCAAAACATTCACCTTGGGGCAGGAAAAACAAAAGGTCTCATTGGAAGAGATTCCTTCTTATAAGGGATTGGAATTTACGGACTAGGGTCTAACTTAGCTGTTGCTTTCTGGCCTCCTACACTTGTATTTACTGTTTAAAGTAAAATGTGAAAATTATATCAGTCTTTAAGAAGATAAACCTTCTGAAATAGGATGCATATGAGTGAATGTGTTTGTATAAGAGGGAGAGGTTAATAATAGCGGTCATGGTGATATTAATAACAATAAAAGGTAGTGTGCTAATTTGGATATTGTATCCTGGTAAGCTGTGTTCACTTCACCAGTTTCTCTAAGAAAATGGATTCTGTTGAACTGCTCACTAGCATGGTGTACTTGCTCAAGCACCTGCAAAAAGACAGAGGGGGCTTCTTGTAGGGATGCAAACCCAGTGGGGCAAACAAACAGAGCCTGGTAACAGCACAATCAATCAACTGTTTCAGTTATGAAGGAAAGAGCTGCTAAAACCTCCCACTCCAGTGGAATGTACCTCACTGAAAGCTCTTGGCACTCACTCTTTACAGAGAATGGTGGGTAGCCAGGACCTATGGTGACATCAGGCACAGAGCAATTCTCCTGTCCTACAAGTGGACAAGAGGGAAGGAGGGTGGTGGTCAAAACCATCATGGGGGTACATGTATCAGATAATGACTAGACTGCATGATTTCATGAGATAAGAAAAAAATATCTTGAGAGAAATGCTTGAGAGTCCTTAGGATTGCAATTCTGCTGAGCACTTGGCTCATCTGTTATTAATAAATGCTGGTGGCAATATCCATGAGTACACTTGTCAGAGGGGCTGCTTCCTCCCCCACCGAGCAACGGCCAGATGGAGAAGTCAGGAGACCTGCGTGGAGAGCCTCGCCTTGCCAGGGGCAAATCCATCACCTCAATAAGCCTCAACTCACTGTCTATTAAATAGGAGTGATTATACCAGCTGCACTTAATTCTTAGAACTATTTTGAGGATGAAATGAGATAATGGATGTGAGTCGTTAAGTATGTCAATCTGGGAATATGTGGGTGGAGCTGTGTGGGAGGTGAGCTCCCTTCTGCTCTGTCATGAAAGGCATGTGACACTCTTCATAGTACTTCCCTCTCCCAGGCCCCCAAATAAGCTTGCCTGTCAATTTTGACACATTTAGAATTCATTAAGTAATTAAATCCATTTTGATCTAATTGAGTTTTCCTTTGAGGGCAGTTTAAGATTCCACTAAGCCTGTGAAGCTTATGAGTAATTGCAAGTGGAAACTACACCCAACTGTGTTGAGATGTCCATCCTCGATTTTTTCCCAATGCATGATTTCACTTGCCGGGATGGCACTGTTACATCTGGAGATCAGAACCAAGCCAACCACCACCACTAGCAGAAGCAATAAATAACACCATTGCATTGAGTCAGCACTGTGGACAGTCCTGTCCTAAACCACATTCATGGGGGACACCTGACTGCCATTCACTTGGAGATCTTTCTGGGCAAAGGAGAGCTGGTCAGTCACCGGGTGACCAAAACCGGCACTGCACTGCCCAAGAAGGACATGGCCATCCTTTAACTGTTTCCATCTGACAAACTGCTGTTGGTCTATGGGCAACTGTTGGTCTGTTTTTTTTTTTTTTTAATTAATTAATTTTTTTTTGAGATGGAGTCTCGCTCTGTTGCCCAGGCCGGAATGCAGTGGTGCGATCTCGGCTCACTGCCAGCTCCTCCTCCCAGGTTCATGCCATTCTCCTGCCTCAGCCTCCCGAGTAGCTGGGACTACAAGCGCCCACCACCATGCCCAGCTCATTTTTTGTATTTTTTTTAGTAGAGACGGGGTTTCACCGTGTTAGCCAGGATGGTCTCGATCTCCTGACCTCGTGATCTGCCCGCCTCGGCCTCCCAAAGTGCTGGGATTACAGATGTGAGCCACCGTGCCTGGCCCGGTCTGTTTTAAAGAGGCCCCTGGCTCTGACCTTGTAGCTCAAAGATGAGCCACATGGTTCCAGGTCCCCATCTGGGACTTCTGGTTGCACTGTGCCAGTGGGAAGCCTTGTCAGCCAACCTACCCCATCTTAGAGGGAAGAGGGACTGGTGACTGATGCCCAGTGAAGAGGCTTGCCTTCGGCCCTCCATCCAAGAAGGGAACCCCCTATGGCCCACTATCCTAAGCAAGTGCTGAGCCATAGTCAGCTTCACCCCATTCTCTATGGGAGCCTGACACCAAACCATTGATTACACCAATCTTCTCAGATAAGGCAGTCCAGCTTAGGTTCCAAGTCTGGAGACTTTTTCCTGAGTCTCCTAGGGGGCCAGACGTGCCTGGGATTTTGAAGAGCCTCCTCTCCCTGGTATCTGTCTTGATACCAGATTCTATTCTGGAATCTGTCCTGCTAGCGGGCAGAGTGCCAAGTCTATATTTTGAGGACAGCAAAGACCTGCATTTGCTAAACCTAATGGTTGTTTCTCAGCCCTCATCTCACTCGACCTTCAGCAGCAGCCCCTCTTCCTTCGTACACTCCCCTCCTTGGCTGCAGGAATGCGGCGCCCACCAGGTCTCCTCCTACCTCTCTGGCTGCTCCTTCTCAGTCTCCTTTGCCAGTTCTTGCTCTTCTCTCCAGTGTGCAAAAGCTGTAGTGCCCACGGCTCAGCCCTTGACCTCTTTTTTTCTCAGCTTCAGTCTCAGGGATCTCCTCCAGTCTCATGGCTTGAAGTACCATCAACATGCTGATGACTAAAGTCTCTGTCTCTAACCTAGACCTCATCCCTGACTTCTAGACCCAATTACCCCACCTATCACTCTCCCCACTGGATGTCCAAAAAGTATCTCCAATACAACATGTCCCAAACAGAGCTCCTAATTATTTCCTCCCAAACCTGCCCCTCCCACAGTCTTCTCCATTTCTGTCAATGACACTTTCTTCTTTCCCACTGCCCAGGAGACATTCCTAACTCTTCTTCCTCTTGCTCCCCACATTTGTTCCATCAGCAAATCCTGTCACTCCTCCTTCAAAATGGGTCCAGAATCTGAGAACTTTCCCCATTTCTACTGCCACCATCCAGGCCCCACTGGCCCAACAACTTGTCTCTGATTTTCTACCCTTGACCCCTTCGGTCTATGATTATATCATGGCAGCCATGGCGCTACGTTAAAACAAAGGTTGGATCACGTCACCTTTCTGCTCAAGACCCCTCTCTACTCCCCATCTCAGTCAAAAGGCTTCATCATGGGCTGCATGCCCCTGTGACCAGCCCCCTGTCCCCTTTCTGACTGTGCCTCCTTCAGTGCTGCCCCCCAGCCTTGCCCACTCTGCTCCAGCCACTCTGTTCTGCCCGCTCCTGGAACCTACCAAGCGCCATCCCCTTTGCACCTGCTGTTCCCTCTGCCTGGCGTGCTCTTCCCCCGTGTATGTGTCTATAGAGTTTGTCACCTCCCTGTGAGGCCTTCAATAAATATTGAATAAATGAATGAACAAGCAAACTGAAGGCTTTACCCTGAACCCTCCCTGGCAGGCCGGGATCCCACAGTTTGCCTGTTCGTTCTTTCCCTGTGGCTGGATCCTGAACTCCGCCCACCACATCTCCCACCCCCAGGGGGTGCTGTTCACAATGTGGTCCGTGGCTAGCAGGGCAGCTCCCAACGTCAACTCTGCAGGGAGCCGTGTGAAGTCACAATATGAATACCCGGCCCTTTCTAAGGTGCCTGGCACGTAGTGGATGGCTCAGCGTATATCTCCTGAACGAAGTTTCACCTCTCACCCTGAGCCAGAATCCTGCCCACTCAGAACCCAAGACCCATGCCTGGGGCTGCCTCTGGCCAGGAAGCTCTCTCTCCTCAGCCCATCCCCAGCCTTCTCCTCCTGGCCCAGCTCCCCCTTCCCTTGCTGAGTTTCTAGCACCTCTTATGCTGTTCACACCCAGACAATTCCGAAAACACTGGATCCCCTGTGAATGGTGTGGAAATGCAACTTCCCCACGTGGAGTCGCTGGGCATGTTCCCCTTCCCTTCCCCTCGAACCCTGCACAGAGGGGGCCATTATGTCACACAAGGCCACTTCACGAGTAAGGGACAAAACAGCCCTTTTGAAACTCAAAACAAAGCTTAAGAGCCGCACCTGAGTTACTAAAGCTTCCACTCAGCCTCACCCATTCCTAGCAATAAGCTGCAGCAGCCGGATCTGCTCCCACCTCTGGGTGACGGCTGGGAACACCAGGCTGTTACCTTTCATCAAAAACACAAAGGGACAGCAAGGGACCTCAGGCATGTAATGGCGCCGAGGAGTAGCCATAACATGTTATTACAGAATTAGTTCTTTCGAAACTGCGTGCCAACTGATTATTAATAAACTGCAAAAATGAGTTAAGGGCGGAATAATTGGGGCTGAATGCCTACCAATCCTGCACATGTTAACCAAGACATATGAGGTTCAACTAGAAGCCAATTGAACAGTTACTTATTGTTAACTACTATGTGCCAAGATGTCGGTGCGTCGAGATCTTTAAGACTTGCTGGAGGCCCCACTGCCAGAGGTGTGTAATCTAAATGGGGAAAGGAAAGGAAAACATGCCCTTTCATTCAATAGTTTTTAAAACAGTACAGTGTACTAGGAAAGGCTGAGGTAAAACATCTGCTTCAATAGGGAGGCAGAGAAAAGGGGATATAGAGGCCCTGGGGAGATTTCTTGAAGGAGACAGAAAACTGGAGATCTGCAAAGAGAAGAAACAGGAGGAAGCAACACATCCCGTGTGGAAGGGGAGAAAGTGGGTGCTGTGAGCAGGAGTGACAAAGTCTTCAGGAAGACTGAGCCTGGGGACAAGGCTGGCCTCAACATTTGCCTTCTATACAGGGTGTGCACAAACCTCAATGCCAAGCCCCATTCAAGGAAAAGGAGGAAGGCTGCAGATGGACCTCACTGACTCTCCCTACAGCAGAAGCGGGCACAGCCGGGTGCAGCGTCTAGGTCAGGAGAGGTGGTGTTTGCATTCATGCTGTCATAACGGCTGTGGTCAGGCTTGGATGAGGACGTCAAGCTGACAAAACCTCAAGGTGATGGAGGACCATTCCTTCCATTATTTGAGCCATCCCAGAAAGAAGGGAGGTAATTCTTAAGCGCGACATGTTCACAAATGGAAAAGTGTGGATTTGGCCTGGATGTTGGCATTTTACTTGGGCCGGGGCTTTATGTGACGTGGGTTCTATGTTGGCAGCCCAGAGGCAGCCAAGTGACCCAGGGAAGCCAGCAACCATAGGGTTTCCAGCCTCATGGTATCAATGGAAGAATTATGAGATCACAAATGTCAGAGCCCCTGGGGCCTTGTAGGTAAATGCTTGGTTTGATTTTAAGTGATCCAGATAATAGAAGAAGTTCTCACTGGCTTCTTTAAGATGGTCCCTTAGACTTACAGATGTTTTTAGGTTCTCATGATTCAAAAATCTATTCTTGCCCCCCCGCACCACCGCCCCCCTCCGCCCAAAAAAAAAGCAAGCAAGCAAAGAGAAACCTGAAAGGAATATTTACCAAAAAGCAAACTATTCCTGGACTCACGGAGTTATCCAGGTCCTAAGGAAATACAAATAGAGTCCAACAGACAGTTTAGTTAAAATACTAAAAATAAACAGTGGCTGTATTTAATTTCTTTTTTTAAGTTTCTAAGGAAGTCAATAAAATAAAAATATATCTGGGGCCTGAATTATCATGCATGAACAAGGACTGCTTGAAAGTGTACCCAGGTTGGGCCCGATGGCTCATGCCTATAATCCCAGCACTTTAGGAGGCCAAGGTGGGCAGATCACCTGAGGTCAGGAGTTCGAGACCAACCTGACCAACATGGTGAAACCCTGTCTCTACTAAAAATATAAAATTAGCTGGGCATGGTGGCGGGCACCTGTAATCCTAGCTGTCAGGAGGCTAAGGCAGGAGAATCGCTTGAACCCGGGAGGCAGAGGTTGCAGTGAGCCAAGATGGTGCCATTGCATTCACCTAAGCAACAAGAGTGAAACTCCATCTCAAAAAAAAAAAAAAAAAAAAAAAAAAAACAAAAACAAAGTGCATCCAGTCCTCTGGATCAAAGAGTGCAAAGAGGCTCTTCCCTGCTGTTCCCCTGCTCCCATCCTCTAGACTCAATGAGTCAGTCAACAAACTTCTACTGTGCACCACCATGTAGAAGGCACTGAGGACAGGGCATTTCAAGAGTCAAATGAGGAAAATACTCGTGTGCCAACTTCTGTTCCCACACTGAGAAAGAAAGAGAGCAAAAACTGCTGAGCTCCAAAAGACATGCTGTGTAAAAAATGTTGAAAAGGAAGACAAACCCTTTAAAAGGGTGACCTTGGGCGGGCCCTTCCCAATTGAGTTAAATGTCACTAACTCTGAGAACTTGTACTTTCTGATTTCCTGATTTTGCAGAATCTAAAGCTAGCATAATGAATTTAAACCCTCCAGCTTCCTTCCTTTCTCCATTTCCTTAAAAACAAAAACAAAAGGCACAGATTTAATATTTCCATTAAAATAAAACTTAACAAAAAGCATCACATACTTTTACTATTACCATAGTTTAGGAAAGAAACACATTTTTCTCTCTTTTGGCTGCAAGACTATTTTTTCAAATTTCAGCAGGCACAAAATTCTGCCCCTTGGTGACTTAATCTGTAAGTACAAGCACTATTTCAGGCAACTGATTTTTTTTTTTTTTTTTTTGAGGCAAGAGTCTTGCTCTGTTGCCCAGGCTGGAGTGCACTGGTGTGATCTTGGCTCACTGCAACCTCTGCCGCCTGGGTTCAAGCGATTCTCCTGCCTCAGAGTAGCTGGGATTACAGGCACTCGCCACCATGTCCAGCTAATTTTTTTTTTTTTTTTGTATTTTTAGTAGAGATGGGGTTTGGCCATGTTGGCCAGCCTGGTCTTAAACTCCTGACCTCAGGCGATCCACCCACCTTGGCCTCCCAAAGTGCTGGGATTACAGGTGTGAGCCACCATGCCCAGCCAATGGTTTTATCATCTGTGTGTTTCTCAGTTATCTCCTTCACCTCTAACACGGGAACTGTTAGAAACAGGAGGGAAGTTCCCATATCAGCCCTTTGACTCCTCTCCGGTTTGCCATCCACACCCTCTGCGATGACAGCCTGAGGTTTAAAACATCCTTCATCTCCACAGCAGTCCCCCGGCTTCCTCTGTGTTCACAACAGCCTTGTGAGAGAGGGAGGTGCAGGGACATAATCATCTCCATTGTGCAGAGGAGGAAAGGGAGGCTCCCAGAGCTGCTCTGTGCAACGTGGTCCATGCAGTGCAGTGGCCACTTGCCACATGTGGCTATGGAGCCCTGGAAATGGCATGCAGGCCACAGGAAACACACACGGAACACTCAGTACGAGAAAAGAACATCCAACGTCTCAGTAATCAGTCTTTAAATTGATTACATGTTGAAATGCTAATACTGTTGATGAATTGGGTTACATAAGATATACTATTAAAATTAATTTACTTGCTTCCTTTTCATTCTTGTTTTTTTTTTGTTTTTTTTTTTTTTTTTAGATGGAGTCTCGCTCTGTTGCCCAGGCTGGAGTGCAGTGGCGCGATCTTGGCTCATTGCAACCTCTGCCTCCCAGGTTCAAGTGATTCTCCTGCCTCATCCTCCCCAGTGGGTGGGATTAACAGGTGCGTGCCACCATGCCCGGCTAAATTTTTTGTATTTTTAGTAGAGATGGGGTTTCATCATGTTGGTCAAGCTGGTCTCGAACTCCTGACCTCAAGTGATCTGCCTGTCTCAGCCTCCCAAGGTGCCTGGATTACAGGCATGAGCCACTGCGCCCGATCTTCATTCTCTTTTAATGTGGCTACATGAAAATTTAAAATTACTGCTTCAGCTTATATTTCATTTTTATTGGACAGTACCACCCTGGAGAGATTGGTGCAAAGTCATCCAGCAGGCCAGGGACAGACCTGGGCCAAATCCACTGCTCCCACTGCGTTTGGGGGCATGGCATCTTCCAGGGCATGATGGGTTGGGAAGAGTTTGCACATAGAGGAGAAACAGTCCACACTGTGATGAGTTTGCACATAGAGGAGAAACAGTCCACACTGTGCCCAGCATGAGGGGGAGGGATGCTGCCTGGGGTCTGTGTCCGTGGCAGGGCAGGGAGGGGTCTGGAGGGCAGGGAGCAACCCTCACAGCAGCAGAGAAGCAGGGCAAAGGACCACAGGGAAGGCCTCCGACTGCATAGGAAGGAGCATACAGGGACTGCAGGGGGAGCCTCAGCCTGGCGGGCTGGTCCAGTGAGGGAAGTGGGGTATATACATCTCCAAAACAGGGACCCAACTCTTAACCCTTCCTTCCATCTCTTTTCTACACAGTTAAATTCTACACAGTTAAGGAATTACGTTAAATTTTATATCAGATTTAGTCATACCCCTGGACCCCTGTTTAAAATGCTCCAATACCAGTTTGGCCAACATGATGAAACTCCATCTCTACTAAAAATACAAAAATTAGTCGGTGTGGTGGTGGATCACGCCTGTAGTCCCAGCTACTTGGAAGGCTCAGGCAGAAGAACTGCTTGACCTCGGGAGGCGGAGTCAGCAGTGAGTGGAAATTGCGCCACGACACTCCAGTCTGGGCGACAGAGTAAGACCCTGTCTCAAGAAAAATAAATAAATAAATAAATAAATAAATAAATAAATAAATAAATAAATAAATAAAATGCTCCAAAAGATTGTTCCCTGTCCATCCAACCTAAAGTAGCCCCTCAGATACTACCCCACTGTGCTGCGCAGTCCTCTGTATGGTGTATCATTACTGTCTGGGTGTTTCCATCTGTTCACTCTCTGTTTCCCCCCAGCAGAATGTGATATCCATGAGGGCATAGACTTTGCCTGTGTGGTTTTCTGCCCCATCCTCAGCTCCTAGGACAGTGACTGGAGGCAGAAGGCAATCCATAAGGAAGCGTTGAAGGAAGAATCAATGAAGGAATCACGGCCCCGGCTGTGCGGGATGACTCAGTTCCTACCACGGGTGCCATGTGCCGGATAAGATGCTGCTCTGAATCCCCCCAAAAGAGTAGTCATCTTCCTTGCAGATAAGGCAGCTGAAGGCTCCGTGTCTCTGTTTGCTTGTGCCCTTCCCCCAGTACCTGGAGAACGGCCTTCCCTGCCCCAGCTGAAGCTCCTAAGCCCGCCTCCCGCTGCCTGCCCTGACTTCGGGGCTCCTCCCCTTCCTCCAAAACCCTTCACAGGACACAAAGTGCCGAAGCCTGGAGTCGTCTGTGTGCTGGCCTTTCTTCCCCATGCACTTATGGACTGTTAGTGAATAGTGCCTATGTCTTACACAACTGAATCTCCACCTCCCTCGCTCGCTGCCACTGCGCCAGGGCTGCTCTGGGTATACAGCAGGAACCTAATAATCATCTGCTTCAACTGAGCCAGGCAGGGAGAGCCTTTCCTCCCACTGACCCTGGCGGCCCAGGGCGGAAGCCTCCTTCGCCTGGAATGCCACCACCTGTTGGGTCCTGCCCGCATCACCTTCCCCCTGCGTCACTTTCCTCTTTGTCCGCTCACACTTTGCTTGCATGCCTCCCGCTTCTGCGGAGGCATGTCCTCCATATGTGAAGAGCCAGGGAGCCCGCGAACCCCGCTTTAGGCCTCCTGTTCTTACCCTCTCCTCCCTGACCCTGCCTGATTTGGCAGCCCCCCACCAGCCCCCTCCCTCCTTCTTCATGCCCCTCCTCCCTCCCCCATTATCCTTAGCTTTGCAACCCACCCCCCAACCCCACTGTTTACACAGCTGCAGAATGAAGAGATGCTCTCTTCTCCACTCTCCAAGCCCAGGGTTAATATATGTGTATTTCTGGCTCCCCACAACTTGGGGCAGAGGGAACACTGCCCCCAACCCAATCTCCTGTAAATAGTTGGTACATGGATAGTGACATTTTCTGAGGATGGAAAAGCATGTTGAACCACTTAGAGTGAGTGATCCTGTGGATGCCTGTGCAGGTTGTACATAGC
Organism: Homo sapiens; assembly: GCF_000001405.40. Lineage (NCBI taxonomy): Eukaryota > Metazoa > Chordata > Mammalia > Primates > Hominidae > Homo > Homo sapiens. The sequence continues at coordinate 163,662 of NW_025791763.1, read as the reverse complement.
CTTCCTGTAGCCCAGGAAAGGAGCAGCTGCTCCACACTGTGGAAGCCCCAGACAGCAAGCGACAGGCTGAGAGGGGGCTGCACTGCAGACCTCGGAGTCACCAGGGCTCCAATCAGGGGCCACAGTTATAACAAGGATCCAGTGAAGGATCCTTGTTATAACTGTGAGCTGTGATTGCACCACTGCATCCTTCTCAGTCCAAAGCTTGGCCAAGTGTGTGGGCAAGTTGCTGGAAATTTTAAAAAACACAACAAACCACTAGACAAACTGTCCAGGAGTTCTAACAAATACCTTAGAACTATAACAAAAGGCTTGAAGGTATTTTGGGCCTCTCCAGTCCTAAGACGTGCTCCAAATGATCACCACCTCCTGGACCATACTTCAGGGCAGATGGGAAAACCCAACCAGAAAGGTCTAAAAAGCACCTCTCCTGAGCCTATGGTGGTATCTCAGCATCCTATTTCAGACTAATGCAGGTTATCTGAGATCAGAGTTCCAAGAAAAGAGCTTACGACAGTGACCTGGGGTCTGAGGGATGCAAAGAGCTGATGCCCTCGCCCCGTGGTGGTAGACAGGTTTAGGGAACAAAGCATTTGGAAATCTCAGTCACTGCAAATGACCCTGCAGTCCCTCCTTCTCTCCTCCTGGTTCCTATTACTCGGCAATTCCTAGAAAGCCATGAGACTTTTGACGCTCCTCTAAAATGAAATTGTTACTTTGCATTCTGACTTTCTCCCAGGAGCTCAGACTTGGGACTCTGTTTACCTCTTATGTTGCCCCTGCCCCCAACACAGCCCCCAGAGCATGATACATGGGTAGATACATATAACTGATCCCCGGCAAGGCTCTCTTTCCAAGAAATTACCTGACTTACCTTATGGGATGCCTCCCAGCCAGAAATCTGACAAGCCCAGCACCTGTCTCTCACCTTTCTCTTGAAAATTCATTCTTACATTCTGGGGCTCCAGGGACACACCAGGGGGTTCACACAATTGCATCCAGAGGCCTCCAGCTGCAAACATAGAAGGAAAGCCCCTGGATCTGACCCACACCAGAGGCCTCTCTGCAGACAAACGGGGGAAGTATGGACCTGATTTTGCCTGTGATGTCTCCTGGAGTCCAGGACAACCATGGTGACCCAGGTCATCTCAAAGCAAAGAACAGAGTCCAGAAAAATCTGCCTGTATGGACAGAGTGCCATAGGGTCTGAAATACTCACTGATACAGACCGGGCTTGAGTGAATAACTCACTTCAGGGTTGTTAAAGCCATCTTGGCATGAGTCTCAAGGTTGGGTTTTTTTTGGGGGGGGGATGGCGTGGTTTGAGACAAGGTCTTGCTCTGTCACCCAGGCTGGGGTGCAGCAGTGCAATCACAGCTCACTGCAGCCTTGACCTCCAGGGCTCAGGCAATCCTCTCACCTCAGCTCCCCAAGTAGCTGAGGGCATGCCACCATGCCTGGCTAATTTTTTGATTTTTTTTGTAGAGGCGAGGTCTCACTATATTGCTTAGCTGGTCTTGAACTCCTGGGCTCAAGCGATCCTCTTGCCTCCGCCTCTCAAAGTGCTGGGATTACAATCATGAGCCACAGTACCCAGCCTGGTGGGTTTTTATTTCTGGTAGAGACAGACTTTCCCTATGTTACCTAGGCTGATCTTGAATGCCTGGGCTCAAGCAGTGCTCCCACCTTGGCCTCCCAAAGTGTTGGGATTACAGGCATGAGCCACACCGCACCTGGCCCCTTATAAGGTGTAGCCAAGTTTTTATTTATGTCATTGCTAAAAAGGTACCTGTTTTGCCCTTGCCCTTAAGATCCTAATGCCTTGGCTAGTGGAGAGCGTCACAGGTATAACACATTGGCTGCCTCTTCCTAGTTGAGCTCCGCGAGGCTTCTGGGCTGCAGGTAGGGATTAGCTCCATGGTACAGATGAGGAAATGTGCCCATGGTCACACCACAAGGGAGCCAGCCCTGAGCCTAGGGGGTGGGGCTCCCAGCACGGGGCCTTCCTCTTTTCCACACTGCCCCTTAGGAACCACATTCCCAGCATCCCCAGAGGGTGGTGATAAACCAACCCTGCTCACTCCACTGCATCCTAGATTGTAGGATAAAGAAATGGCTTCGGGGAGACAGGGTAGGGACAGACAAAGTCCATAATGAAGCCAAACTCACATCCAAGTGCTTTGGATTAATATGAGCGTGTTATTTGTACTTAGTGGGGACCCAGGCCTAAACTAAGGGAAAATGAAAACAATTCTGACAGCCATTTCCTTGCTTTCTTTCTCCACCCAAGAGGTACCAGTGGTTAACAGTATGGTGGCAACAAGTGGGTCAGAGGTCAGCCCCTCAGTAAGCTCTGGTTTCCATGGAGATGAGGCCTATTCATCCAGCACACAGAGCCTCTTCACAGCCACTTACACACAATTGAGCTATTACTGGGAGCCCAGGAGAGCCCTGTCTGGAGCACAGTGCGCTAGACAGGGCAGGGTTTAATGGAGCTGATTAAATGGTAGTTGGGGAATTATCCAGAGCAGGATTTGAGAACACCCTTCAGAAACAAGTTAAATCCCCAAACCTCGGCCCATCCCCAGCAACCCTCTCCTGCAGAGCCTCTGCAATCCAAGCCACCCTTTCACCTTCAATGATGCCAACATCTGCACACTCAAGCTGACCTCACCTTTCTTCCCATGTGTCCATGAGACGACAAAGCCCTATTCTGAGTTTCCTGGACCTCACCACCTTTAGCGTCTTCATCTTTTGCTTAGCATCATGGTGATTTTGTGATTTAGAAAGGTATCAACCCACAGACAAAAAATTAAAAGTTAAGTAGGCGATCCACTTCGGGCAGAACATAAATTCCAGCAGATGGGGAATGTGGTCCAAGACTTCTCAAGAGGTGAGAAATTCTTTGGCATATGTTTGGGAATTCGTGAAATCAATCTTTTGAAAGAATGGGGGCATTCCTTCAAAAGATGCAGTACCATCTGTAACTTACCAGGCAGAGTTTCTACCAAAATTTCCACAACCTTTAAAATCAGAGTGGAATGGCCAGGTGTGGTGCCTCACACATGTAATCCCAGCACTTTGGGAGGCCGAGGTGGGTGGACCACAAGGTCAAGAGATCGAGACCATCCTGGCCAACATGGTGAAAACCCATCTCTACTAAAAATACAAAAATTAGCTGAGCGTGTTGGCAGGTGCCTGTATTCCCAGCTACTCGAGAGGCTGAGGCAGGAGAATCGCCTGAACCTGGGAGGCAGAGGTTGCAGTGAGCTGAGATCATGCCACTGCACTCCAGCCTGGCGAAAGAGCGAGGCTCCATCTCGAAAAAAAAAAAAAAAAAAAAAAGAAAAGAAAAAAGAAAAGAAATGAAAAAAGCAGAGTGGAACAAGAGAGATGAAAAGTGAAATGCCTTATTAGAAGATTATATTCTCACACAAAAACTTTACGTGACTATTTATAACAGTTATATACATAATCTTCCCACACTAGAAACAATCCAAATGTTCTTCAGCAGATGAATGAATAAACAAACACGGGTTCATCCATACAACGGAAAACCGCTCGGTAATGAAAAAGAACTACTAATACCTGCAGCAATGTGGATGAATTTCAAGTGCATATTAGTGAGCAGAGGAAGCCAGAATCAAAAGGCTACACACCATACGAATCCACTTATATCCTGGAAAAGGCAAAACCAGAGGGATGGAGAGTGGATCAGCAGTTGCCAGGGTTTGGGGCTCACTACAAAGGGGATGCCCAGGGAAATTTGGGGGTGGGTGGAATTGTTCTATATCATGATTGTGGTGGTACAATTTGTTAAAACCCCAAAAGTTAATTTTATAGCATGTTAAAAATAATTCTCTGGCTGAGTGCAGTGGCTCACGCTGGTAATCCCAGTACTTTGGGAGGCTGAGGCGGGCAGATCACGAGGTCAGGAGATCGAGACCATCCTGGCCAACATGGTGAAACCCTATCTCTACTAAAAATACAAAAATTAGCCAGGCGTGGTGGTGTGTGCCTGTAATCCCAGCTACTCAGGAGACTGAGGCAGGAGAATCACTTGAACCAGAGAATCGGAGGTTGCAGTGAACCGAAATCACGCCATTGCATTCCAGCCTGGCAACAGAGCGAGACTCCATCTAAAAAAAAAAAAAAAAAAATCTCTGAATTTAACCTTTTTAGAGAACACAAAAAGAAAGTGTGCTGACTCTTCAGGTCAGGAGAAAATGAAGAAGAATCTCCAGGATGGGTGTGGGGGCTCACACCTGTAATCCCAGCACTTTGGGAGGCTGAAGAGGGTGGATCTCTTGAGCCCAGGAGTTCAAAACCTGCCTGGGCAACACAGGGAGACCTCTTCTCTACAAAACAACCCAAAAAGTTAGCCAGGCATGGTGGCACATACCTGTAGTCCCAGCTACTGAGAAGGCTGAGGTGGGAGGATCTCTTGAGCCCAGGAGGTCGAGGCTGCAGTGAGCTGTGATTTCGCTGCACTCTAGCCTGGGTGACAGAGGGAGACCCTGTCTCAAAAAAATAAATAAATGAATAAACAAAATCACAAACAAAAAACAAAAAAGAATCCCCTTTGTTCTCTGAAGTTACACCTGCCAAGCTGTAACAGTAGCCCACTGGTTTTAATTCCTGTTGCTGTTATTGCTAACCAGGGTAAGGTAAAGATGAATATATTCCAGAACTGAAGCACTGCGTGGATAAGTATAAACATTCTAATGACAACCGGGATTGGATGGGGAACATCAACATTTATATTTTTTGAGATCTTGCTCTTCCTGAATATGTCACTGGAAGAAAAATAACAGTGGAGGAGATACCGCTTAATCAGTAGGAGAAAATAGTGGGAAGGAGAATGCAAAAATAGGGTTTAATGCCCATATGCTGAACAGTGGTGAACAAACTTAAGATCATCATGCAAAGGGGTCAACAAGACCTCACAGAGGTCTTGGCGGAATGAGACAGACGAATGGCTGCTTGTGTCCGTGGAATGTCAGCTTCCCCAGGACACTCATATCACTGCTGTGGCCCCCAGAACAGCTTTGGGCCATGGAGCTGCACCATCAGTATTTGTTAGATAATGAATAAATCTGAGGGTAGAAGTTCAGAGGAGGAAATATGATTAAAAAGAAATGGAGAAGAAATAATGGAGGATGTATACAGATCGCTTGACCGGGCTGAGCATCACGAAGCATTCCTGAGAGAGACTTAAAATAACAATCACAAAAACAAACACACACAGAGCAGAAAACAAAAGACAGAAAGCAGACAAAGGCGAGAATGGATTGCACGACAGCCTCAAGTCTCCAGCCTCTGCTGGCAGCTACTCAGCCCTGACCCGATCGCCTTGTGGGCTGCTGATCTGGGAGGCTCACCAGTCAGATGCAGAGGAAACATGATGAAGATCTGGACTCTCAACGGTGTGACAATGAGAAATGACACCCATCTTACAGCATACCAGGCACCATCCGAAGTCCTTCGCTAACATTAACTCAATCCTCTTGAGCACTATCTGAAGTAGGGGCTGTTGAGGGTCTCATTTTACAGATGAAGAAACGGAGGCACAGGGAAGCTCTCTGACTCACCCAGGGTGGGATCTAAACCTACCCTGACCAAAGGGTCTGCACCCTCAATCCCTACACTACGCTAGAAAAAAGAGATAAACCCACCAACACAAGGTTAACAGAAATGACGTCCTATACCCATGCCAGGGGTGGGAAATAGTGTGTGGAAGGGGACATGGTGGGAGGGACAGTTACACATGTGGACAATAACTTTTGGGGGAGTCGATTTTACAACATGGGTGCCGGAAAAACGAAGCTGCTTCAGTGGCCAGCATACTCCCTGGTGCCCAGGGACTGGTGTCCTGATCTTGGATACACCAGCGGTGGCCCAGAGTGGAGTTGGGTGGGTGGTGCAGAGAGCTGAGGACATTCAAAATGATGTTGTATGAGACCATCAGTGTGAGGAAGGTGATCTGAAAAGTGAAAGGCTGTCACGTGGACGAGGAGGAATTCAGTTTGCTCTAGGCTGCCCCCATCACTGCAGGTGTTCAGGCAGAGGCCAGGCAACAAATAGTTGGACCAGATAACTCTGTCATCTCAGCCAACAATTGATCATTCTCAGATGTGAAGTGGTTCTTAGGTCTTCTAGAGCTACTCAGGAGTGAAAAGCCCAGTTTCAACTCAAAGTAGGAATACAAACCAGGATGCTAGGAGGAAGCGCCAGACAGAGGAGAGATGCTTGGGCAGCTGAGTCAGGTGGGCAACCCTACAGCCTGGGGCTCTCTAACAGACCCACCTCAACAGGCCTGGCTTCCTGGGGGCGCACATTAGACCTGGCTGTTCCTGCTGGCCAGCTTAGTAACCTCGTTCATCTGCAAGATACTTGCAGATGTTCCAAAGGATTTTCAAGTACCCTATAATGTTTCTGGGAACATTTATATGTTCTTCCTCTCTAAATAGAGCATTATTCCTGAGGGGACCAAGATTTCAAGACACAGGGATCTGTCCAAACTTAGACTAAGTTTTGGAAAGTTTTAGGCATTTGTTCCTTTATGGAAAACTAACAGCAAATTAAAAGGCGATATCCACCCATCCCCTCAGGCTTTTCCTCTGGCAACGTGTATGCAGCCTTGAAGCTATTACAATTTTTGTTTTTTAAAAAAGCACGTTAGTAGTACTGGTTCTTCGCAATAACAAGGCTGCCCCACAGAAAGCAGAGTGTCACGTAGGGATGCAGGAGAAATGGGCACTCTATGGTTGCCCCCGGTATAAGCTGATTCAGCCCCCTGCAAGGAAATCTGGTGATATGATGTAGCTTTAAGATGTTTCTAAGGTTGGGCGTGGTGGCTCATGCCTATAATCCCAGCACTTTGAGAGGCTGAGACGAGTGGATAACCTGAGGTCAGGAGTTCGAGACCACCCTGGCCAACATGGTGAAACCCCATCTCTACTAAAAATTCAAGAAATTAGCTGGGCGTGGTGATGGGTGCCTGTAATCACAGCTACTTGGGAGGCTGAGGCATGAAAATCACTTGAACCCAGGAGGTGGAGGTTGCAGTGAGCCGAGATCACACCATTGCACTCCAGCCTGGGCAACAAGAGTGAAACTCTGTCTCAAAAAAAGATGTTTCTAGCCTTTTACTCAATGAGCCCAAATCTAGGATTGTACTCCAGGGTACTAATCCTAAATTCAGAAAAAGCTTAATCCATAAGAATCATGCACTGCACTATTGTTTATGAGAGTAAAGCACCAGAAAAACCCGAGTTTCTAAAAACAAGGAAACAGGGGAGTCAACTGAAGAAAGTGCTTAGGATAAAGTATGAAGTGAAAAAAGCTGGACACCAAATTGTACCTCAGTATGAAGACAACGATATTTGAAAAAGAGAAAGAAGCAGAAAACTTACATGCCAGAAGAAAGGTCTGGCAGAAAGTGGACCAACATTTAATTTATTTATTTGAGACAGGGTCTCACTTTGCCACCCAGGCTGGAGTGTTACTGGCACTATCTCAGCTCATTGCAGCCTTGACCTCCCAGGTTCAAGCGATCCTCCTGCCGCAGCAGCCCATGTAGCTGGGACTCTAGGCCTGTGCCACCACGTCCGGCTATTTTTTTGTATTTTTAGTAGAGACAGGTTTTCCCATGTTGGCCAGGCTGGTCTCAAACTCCTGAGCTCAAGTGATCCACCTACTTCAGTCTTCCAAAGTGCTGGGATCACAGGTGTGAGCCACTGCACCCAAACTGGACCAACATTTTAAAACTGATATATATTGGTGGCTGGATGATTAAGTAAAATTTAAAAAAATCTTCCCCCAATCTCCAAATTTTCTTTAATCAACACACTTTCACCTTCCCTTCTCTCTCTCTCTAGTAGCTCAAGACAGACGAGGTGATGACCCCTCTGAATGTGCTCCCCCCTTCTCTGTATGTAACTCAGTCTGGTGTGCCTCTTCCTAGTGTCCTGTCAGAATAGAGCTGCACTTGTACACATGTTCCTATCATTCCAGTTCTTTCTCTCTCCATCTCTTTAGCAGAATTGGGGTTATAGGACACCTTTTCAATAGCTCCTGTTTCCTTCAGAATAAGGTTCCAATCTCCTTCCTTCCTTCCTTTTCTTTTTTTGAGACGGAGTCTCGCTCTGTCTCCCAGCTGGAGTGCACTGGCACGATCTCAGCTCACTGCAAGCTCCGCCTCCCGGGTTCAAGTGATTTTCCTGCCTCAGCCTCCCGGAGTAGCTGGGACTACAGGTGTGTGCCAACACGCCCAGCTAATTTTTTGTATTTTCAGTAGAGACAGGGTTTCACCATGTTGGCCAGGATGGTCTCAATCTCTTGACCTTGTGATCCGCACGCCTCAGCCTCCCAAAGTGCTGGGATTACAGGCGTGAGCCACCGCGCCTGGCCCAAGGTTCTAATTTCTTTTCCTTTCTTTTTTTTTTTTTTTTTTTGAGACAGAGTCTCTCTCTGTCGCCCAGGCTGGAGTGCAGTGGCGCAATCTCGGCTCACTGCAAGCTCCGCCTCCTGGGTTCATGCCAATCTCCTGGCTCAGCCTCCCGAGTAGCTGGGACTGCAGGCGCCCACCACCCTCCCCGGCTAATTTTTTGTATTTTTTTTTTTAGGAGAGATGGGGTTTCACCGTGTTAGCCGGGATGGTCTCAATCTCCTGACCTCATGATCTGCCCGCCTCGGCCTCCCAAAGTGCTGGGATTACAGGCGTGAGCCACCGAGCCCAGCCTAAGGTTCAAATTTCTAAGAATGATAAAGAAGGACTTTGAGGGCTGGTCTCTGTTACCTCCCTAGCCCATCTCTCAACATCTCCTTCCTTGCTTCCTGTGACTAAATTCCAACCATTCTGAACTCCTTGGGAACCCCAAGTCAGGTGGCATACTTTGCAGGGAGCCCCAACCCACCTCTTCGCTCCCTTTCAAGGTCTAGGCTGCCCTTCCTCAGCACAACGTCCCCACTGGTGACTGGACATTCATCCCTCTCTCTCACTTGAAACGCAGTCCCTCTAAGGCTGGAACCCTATCATTTAATTTTTATTAAACAGAATTTTGTGTCACTCTGTTACCCAGGCAGGAGTACAGTGGTGCAATCACGGCTCACTGCAGCCTTGACCTCCTAGTCTCAAGGGATCCTCCTGCCTCAACTCCCCAAGTAGCTGAGACTACAGGCGTGCACCACCACACATGGCTGATTTTTAAAATTATTTGTAGAGACTGGGTCTCGCTATGTTGCCCAAGATGATCTTGAACCCGTGGGCTCAAGTGATCCTCCTGCCTTGGCCTCTCAAAGTGTTGGGATTATAGGCATGAGCCACCACACCCAGTCTCCTATCTTTTTATAATACCTTAGTCCCTAAGACACTGCCCAGACTGCTAGGACCTACTCAAGGATTAAATGTTGAATGGAAAAACAAATACCCAAACAACATGAAAATGTTTGTGACTAATTTTTTTTTTTTTTTTTTTTTTTTGGAGACAGGGTCTTGCTCTGTCACTCAGGCTGGAGTGCAGTAGGGAGATCATAGTTCCCTGTAGCCTTAAACTCCTGGGTTCAAGCAATCCTCCCACCTCAGCCTCCCGAGTAGCTGGGACTACAGGTGCACGGCACCACGCCTGGCTAATTTTTATTTTTGTAGAGACAGGGTCTCACTCTGTTGCCCAGCCTGGTCTTGAACTCCTAGCCTCAAGAGATCCTCCCACCTTGGGCCGCAAAGTGTTGGGATTATAGGTGTGAGCCACTGTGCCCAGCCCAGAATCCAGAGCTTATAAGGAGGATGGGAAATGAGCCATATACACTCAAATAAGTGGCAGGCATCACTGGTTTCTATTAGAATGGTAGAAACAAGACTGAAGAGTCAAGTTTTTAACTAAAGCTAAGCTTATATAATTTAAAAGACTGTCCTTTGCTCTAGGGTGAGCTTGTCCCCCCACCCACCCTTTTTGTTATTATTAAAATATTCTTTTTCACATGAAATTAGGATCGTTGTTTCTCTTAATATTCTTACTTGGTTAAAAAAAAAAAAAAGAGGGGGTATTACTCTGACAGTCCCTTTTCCCCACCAAGTTTTCTGAAATTCGAATGGTCCAAAAAACCCAGGCGTTGTTCAAGTGGCAACCACTCTAGTAGTTCATGGGAAGAACAGGTCGCCAAGGCCTGAGGGAGAGGGAGGCTCCTTTAGTTGAGTTCAGAGGGGGTTTGACAGTGTAAGCAGAGCAGAGCAATGCAGTGAGCGGAGCTAAGTGCAAAGGGGTGAGGGCAGGAAGAGAAGTCCAAAGATAAAGGGATTTGGTAGAGTTGTTACAAGGTAGATGCCGGAAAAACAGCAAAACAGCATAGGAGTGAACATTTGTTAAGCACCAACTCACTCTGGAGACCAAGTGCTTGTATTTTCTCAGCCACTCTATGTACGCTTTTGCACATCTGATCTTAAAGCCTCTCTGAGTGAGTCCCATCCCCATCCTGCAGGGTCACAGGGTAAAACGGCGGCAGCGGTGCTATTTGAACCCAAGCCCTGACTGTTCTCGCTGTCTTAGAAGCAAGACCTTGTGTTCAATTTATGATCAATGAGGATGCCTTGAAGGTTTGCAAGCACGAGAATGACATGGAGAAAGTGGTGCACTGGGAGGTTAAAAAAAAAAAAAAAAAAGGCGGGGGGAGATAAACAGAAAGGGAAGAGCTGGAGTCAGGGGCACTACTGCAGTGATCCAGGCTGGAAAACCACAAACTGTGTTCTGAGAGATGGCTCTGGGATCACAGGACAGTTTTAGAGAATACATAGGACCTAGGAGTGAGTGGTTATTATGGGACAGGAGGGAGAGAAGAGCTGAAGTCACCAAGTTTGGGTGATTAGGAGAATGGGAACTAAGAGAATAAAGTTGGGAGAGGAAGCTACTTTATGGTGGTAGATTTCCACCAAAACTTGGAAGTTGCACTGACATAGAGAAGCACAGTGTGGCACAGCAGCAAAGAAGCCAGGTTCCAGGCTAGCCCAGATTCAAATCCTGGCTTTGCCAGTGACTTAAGGGACTTGCCACTGACTTAGGCAAGTAATTTATCTGTGTGTCAGCTTCCTTAATGGTAAAATAGGGATAGGTACAAAATGGAGCTGGTACCATTCCTTCTGAAACTATTCCAATCAATAGAAAAAGAAGAAATCCTCCCTAACTCATTTTATGAGGCCAGCATCATCCTGATACCAAAGCCTGGCAGAGACACAGCAAAAAAAGAGAATTTTAGGCTAATATCCCTGATGAACATCGATGCGAAGATCCTCAATAAAATACTAGCAAACCGAATCCAGCAGCACATCAGAAAGCTTATCTACCACAATCAAGTTGGCTTCATCCCTGGATGCAAGGCTGGTTCAACATATGCAAATCAGTAAATGTAATCCTTCACATAAACAGAACCAACGACAAAAACCACGTGATTATCTCAATAGACGCAGAAAAGGCCTTCAACAAAATTCAACAGCATTTCATGCTAAAAACTCTCAATAAACTAGGTATTGATGGAATGTATCTCAAAATAATAAGAGCTATTTATGACAAACCCACAGCCAATATCATACTGAATGAGCAAAAACTAGAAGCATTCCCTTTGAAAACCGGCACAAGACAGGGATGCCCTCTCTCACCACTCCTATCAACACAGTATTGGAAGTTCTGGCCAGGGCAATCAGTCAAGAGAAAGAAATAAAGGGTATTCAATTAGGAAAAGAGGAAGTCAAATTGTCTCTGTTTGCAGATGACATGACTGTATATTTAGAAAACCCCATCGTCTCAGCCCAAAATCTCCTTAAGCTAATAAGCAACTTCAGCAAAGTCTCAGGATACAAAATCAATGTGCAAAAATCACAAGCATTCCCATACACCAATAACAGACAAACAGAGAGCCAAATCATGAGTGAACTCCCATTCACAATTACTACAAAGAGAATAAAATACCTAGGAATCCAATTTACAAAGGATGTGAAGGGCCTCTTCAAGGAGAACTACAAACCACTGCTCAACGAAATAAAAGAAGACACAAACAAATGGAAGAACATTCCATGCTCATGGATAGGAAGAATCAATATCGTGAAAATGGCCATACTGCCCAAGGTAATTTATAGATTCAATGCCATCCCCATCAAGCTACCACTGACTTTCTTCACAGAATTGGAAAAAACTACTTTAAATTTCATATGGAACCAAAAGAGCCGGCATAGGCAAGAAAATCCTAAGCAAAAAGAACAAAGCTGGAGGCATCATGCTACCTGACTTCAAATATACTACAAGGCTACAGTAACCAAAACAGCATGGTACTGGTACCAAAACAGAGATATAGACCAATGGAACAGAATAGAGGCCTCAGAAATAACACTGCACATCTACAACCATCTGATCTTTGACAAACCTGACAAAAATAAGCAATGGGGAAAGGATTCCCTATTTAATAAATGGTGCTGGGAAAACTGGCTAGCCATATGTAGAAAGCTAAAACTGGATCCCTTCCTAACACCTTACACAAAAATTAACTCAAGATGGATTAAAGACTTAAATGTAAGCCCTAAAACCATAAAAACCCTAGAAGAAAACCTAGGCAATACCATTCAGGACATAGGCATGGGCAAAGACTTCATGACTAAAACACCAAAAGCAATGGCAACAAAAGCCAAAATTGACAAATGGGATCTAATTAAAGAGCTTCTGCACAGCAAAAGATACTATCATCAGAGTGAACAGGCAACCTACAGAATAGGAGAAAATTTTTGCAATCTATCCATCTGACAAAGGACTAATATCCAGAATCTACAAAGAACTTAAACAAATTTACAAGAAAAAAACAAATGACCCCATCAAAAAGTGGGCAAAGGATATGAACAGATACTTCTCAAATGAAGACATTTATGCAGCCAACAGACATATGAAAAAATACTCATCATCACTGGTCATCAGAGAAATGCAAATCAAAAACACAATGAGATTTCTCATGCCAGTTAGAATGGCGATCATTAAAGTCAGGAAACAACAGGTGCTGGAGAGGGTGTGGAGAAATAGGAACACTTTTACATTGTTGGTGGGAGTGTAAATTAGTTCAACCATTGTGGAAGACAGTATGGCAATTCCTCAAGGATCTAGAACTAGAAATACCATTTGACCCAGCAATCCCATTACTGGGTATATACTCAAAGGATTATAAATCATGCTACTATAAAGACATATGCACATGTATGTTTACTGTGGCACTATTCACAATAGCAAAGACTTGGAACCGACCCAAATGTCCATCAATAATTGACTGGATAAAGAAAATGTGGCACATATACACCATGGAATACTATGCAGCTATAAAAAACGATGATTTCATGTCCTTTGGCAGGGACATGGATGAAGCTGGAAACCATCATTCTCAGCAAACTATCACAAGGACAGGAAACCAAACACTGCATGTCCTCACTCATAGGTGGGAGTTGAACAATGAGAACACATGGACACAGGGAGAGGAACATCACACACCAGGGCCTGTTGGGGAGTGGGGGCTGGGGGAGGGATAGTGTTAGGAGAAATACCTAATGTAAATGACAAGTTGATGGGTGCAGCAAACCAATATGGCACATGTATACCTATGTAACAAACCTGCACGTTGTGCACATGTATCCTAGAACTTAAAGTATAATAAAAAAAGGTAAAATAGGGACAAAGAACAGCAAGCACATACCTCATGGGAGGGTTGCTGTAGGGACTAAAGGTGTTCTTATTTGTAAAGTCCTAGAAAGTGTATGCCTTGCGGGGTTAAATCACTCATTCCCCCAATTTTTGCTGTGAGTGGTTGCTTTTGGGTACTTTTTGCTGGGTTTTGCAACTTTCTTCATCCTCCTTCTCATTCTCAGCACACCAGTATCTATCCAGCTCCACCTGGGGAAGCAGACACCCCATACATCCACCTCCAGCAGCTCACTTGATCAGGCCTTATTCCCTACCCTTGCCGGCCCCTCCCTCTAACCCCCCTTGGCTGTGGGGTCCTGCTCAGACACTCAACCATCCACCAAACACTCTAACTTCTACCTGGGATTCTGCCAGGTGAATAAAAATGAAATATTTAAAACCTTTTATTTTGTGGCCAGGTGTGGTGGCTCATGCCTGTAATCCCGGCACTTTGGGAGGCTAAGGCAAGAGGATCACTTGAGGCCAGGATTTCGAAACCTTGTCTCTACAAAAAATTTAGAAAAATTAGCAGGGCGTGATGGCACACACCTATAGTCCCAGCTACTCAGGAGGCTGAGGTGGGGGGATTGCTTGGGCCCAGGAGTTTGAAGCTACAGTGAGCTATGATTGCACCAGTGCACTCTAGCCTAGGCGACTGAGTGAGATTCCATCTCAAAAACAAACCATTTTGGAAAATTTCCAATGTACACAAAAGTAGAGAGAACAATATAATGAATCTGGTTAAGCCACCACCAGGTTCTGCAATTACTAGCTCATGGCCCGTCTCCATTCATCCATCCCCCACCCACTCCTTGCTCATCCACCCCTAAGCCCAAGACTATTTCGAAACAGAGCCCAGATAGCCTATCACTTCATTGGTAAATATTTCTGTGTGTTATCTCTAGAAAGCAGAAAATTTTTTAAAATCCTAAAAAATGTTTTTAAGGGTTAACAATAATTTTCTAATATTATGTCTTACAAATAATTTTTCCCTACAGTTTATTCCAATCAGGATCCAATGCATGGTCCATACATTTGCTATTGGTCAATTTATGTCTTTTATTCTTTTTTAAAGCCTTTAATCTTTTTTTTTTTTTTTTTTTTGAGATGGGGTCTCACTCTGTCACCCAGGCTGGAGTGCAGCAGTGCAATCTAGGCTCACTGCAGCCTCTGCCTCCCTGGCTCAAGCAATCCTCACAACTCAGCCTCCCAAGTAGCTGGGACGACAGGTGCATACCCCTGTGCCGGGCTAATTTTTTGTATTTTTGGTGGAGACAGGGATTTCACCATGTTGCCCAGGCTGGCCTTGAACTCCTGAGCTCAAGCAATCCACACCGTGGCCTCCCAAAGTGCTGGGATTACAGGCGTGAACCACCACGCCTGGCCAAGCCTTTAGTGTTTTTTTTTTTGTTTGTTTGTTTGTTTTTTTTTTTGAGATGGAGTCTCACTCTTGCTGCCCAGGCTGGAGTGCAATGGCCAATCTCGGCTCACTGCAACCTCCACCTTCTGGTTTCAAGCGATTCTCCTGCCTCAGCCTCCCAAGTAGCTGGGATTACAGGCGTGCGCCACCACGCCCGCTTAATTTTGTATTTTTAGTAGAGACGAGGTTTCACCATGTTGGTCAGGCTGGTCTCGAACTCCTGACCTCAGGTGATCCACCCTCCTCGGCCTCCAGAAGTGCTGGGATTATAGGCATGAGCCACCGCATCTGGCCACCTTTAGTCTTTTATAGCCTTTTAATCTTTAGGAGTCTTTCTCTTTCCCTATTTCCACCCTGCCCACGCCTCCTGTATTATTCGTGGAGGAAACCAAGTTATTGTTCCTGTAGTTTTTTTTTTTTTTAAGTCTGGATTTTGCTAATCATATCCTCATGGTGTCAATCTAACATGTTCTTCTGAATTGTATTTCTGGTAAATTAATAATTAGATCTAGAGGCTTGATCAAATTCAGGTTCAATGTTATTTTACTTTATTTTATTTAGGGGAGAGGGAATGCCATGGTTTGAATATGTCCCCCAAAGTTCATGTTTTGCAAACTTAATGCATAATGCAACAGTGTTGAGAAGTGGAAACTTTAAGAGGTGATTAGGTTATGAGGGCTGTGCCCTCATAAATGTATTAATGCCCTTATTGTGGGAGTGGGTTCCTGATTAAAGTATGAGTTTGCCCCCCATCCCCCATTCTGCCGTCTTGTGCACACACAGGCGTACTCTCTTGCCTTTCTGCTATAGGACGATGCAGTAAGAAGGCCTGCACCAGATGCTGAGCAGATGTCGGCACTATGCCCTTGGACTTCCCAGCCTCCTTAACTGTGAGCCAAGTAAATATCTTTCCTTTATAAATTACCCAGTTTGTGGTGTGCTGTTACAGCAACACAAAATGAACTAAGACAGGAAACAAGACTATTTCTTCTTCATTTATTAGCTGAAATACTTCTGTAAAGAAAAACTTTCCTCAACTAGTGGCCCAGTGGCAAACAGCACACAGCACAGGCAGGACAAATGCGTGATTCTTTCTATTAACATATTGAAAATAATGACTCAGCTCCCTGTTGTCCTCCAAAGGAGACCAGTGTTGTGTTTATTTTGTTGTGTTTTCTTGGTGTCAGCGTGAACTTAAGGATTTTAATAAATATAATATATTCTTGATGATCTAATTATTTCATCTTTTCCGTCTTACTCAGTTTGGCTGCTGAGTCCTTCCGACCTAGCAGCCCTAGTACCTGAGTGCGTAACAATAGACTTGGGTCTCTAATGGTCTTCAATAGCTTTCATGCTTTCTTGTATAACAATATATTCTAGGCTAACTTCATACATCGAATCAGCTCCTTCTCCCAGGAGCCTGGTTTTATTTTAACTGGGAAATGGGATTTGGTGAATATAATCTGAGCACTGGAGCTGGTCAGTGCTATTGAGATAATCATTGTTTCTAATCTTTTCCAGTGGATAGAGCTACAAAATATATATTCTCTCTCTTTTAAGCACCAAAATAACTTTCAAAATAAGCTTTAATTTTAAAAGGAAAACTAAATTATTTATTCCCACTTTTCTGAAGTTTTAAAAATGTTGTTTATAGTTATGGAATAAACTATCATCTAGTTATAAAACTATAGGCTGGGTGCAGTGGCTCATGCCTGTAATCCCAGCACTTTGGGAGGCTGAGGTGGGTAGAGAACGAGGTCAAGAGATCGAGACCATCCTGGCCAACATGGTGAAACCCTGTCTCTATCAAAAATACAAAAGTTAGCTGGGCATGGAGGCGCGTGCCTGTAGTCCAAGCTGCTCGGAAGGCTGAGGCAGGAGAATCGCTTCAACCTGGGAGGAGGTTGCAGTGAGCTGACATTGCGCCACTGTACTCCAGCCTGGGTGACAGTGAGACTCCATCTCAAAAAATATATATACATATATATATATTTTTTTTTAAGTACAGAAAGTAAGTAGAGACACTAATGGACACCAGATTGAATAGCTTATCATTTTCCCATATTAATCTAGAGCTCCCCACCTCTTTTTTTTCTTAAAGAAATAAAGTGTTATTGATATAGCTCAAGTATCCGATCTGTCATTCATTTATCTGCCCTCCCAGAAGTAATGTTGTCCTAAAGGTACTGCTTGTCATACCTCTGCATGTTTTTCATTGAATATATTTCACTACATATGTATTATCCACAATTTATAGGTTCAATGAGTGTCTTCAATTTTTTATTTTGAAAAGTTCCATTTTACAGGAAAGTTATAGGAAAAGTACAATAAACACCCATCTGTCCTTCATCCAGATCAATCATCGTTAACATGTTCACACATTGGCTTTGCTTACCTCCCTCCCCTATGTATGTATTCACACAAACACATTTTAATTTTGCAGAACCATTTGAAAGTCAGTTGTCAACATTGTAACACCTTACCCTCAAATACCTCAGCCCAGATCTCCTAAACACCAGGGCATTCTCCTGTATAACCAAATGCAATTATCATTCTCTTGGGAGTTACAAACATTCTTATAAATGGCACTACATTTTAGGTATTTTTTAGCCCCTTATTTTTTCTTTCTTTCTTTTCAAAGAGATGAGGTCTCACTATGCTGCCCATGCTGGTCTTAAACTCCTGGGTTCAAGTGATCCCACTGCCTCGGCCTCCCAAAGTGCTGGGATTATAGGTGTGAGCAACTGTGCCCAGCCTAGCCACTTACTTTTTCTAATGAGTGTTACACTTTTAGAATTTATTCATGTTAATACATGTAGATCTGAGTTAATTCACTATATTCTACTAGATGACTATATTTATTTATTTAATACATAGATGGCCACATATGTTGTTTCTAGTTTATGCTACTGTAAACAATGCAGCAAGGAGCGTTCTTGTTCATGTCCCTTGTGCTCATGTGTAGTAGATTTGCTGGGTCATAAGATATGTGCATCTTTGATTTTACTAGATATTGCCAAATCATTCCTCAATATAATACGCAAATGTGTCATTTATTAACAAACATCCTCGCCAACACCAGTATGCTTAGACTTTAACTTTTGCCGTCTCATTGTTTTAGTCTGCATTTCTCTGATCCTGCTTCTTTCTTTCAATGGAAAGCATACAACAGCATTTTCTGGGGAAAAAAAATTGTTTTTTGAGATGGGGTTTCACTCTGTTGCCCAAGCTGGAGTTCAGGGGCACAAGCGTGGCTCACTGCAGCCCCTAACTTCTGGGCTCAAGCCATCCTCTCACCTCAGCCTCCTGAGTAGCTGGGATTACAGGTGTGTGCCTATTTTATTTTATTTTTTGTAGAGACAGGGTCTGGCTATGTTGACCTGGCTGGTCTTGAACTCCTGGCCTCAAGTGATCCTCCTGCTTCAGCATCCCAAAGTATTGGGATTACAGGTGTGACCCAGTGCTCCTGGCTCTGAACATCTTATTCACCATTATGCCCGTCCATCACAGAGTATCCTTTTATATTATTACTTCTCATATTTTCCCCTGCCTAGATGGTCAGCTGCCACTTAATCTGCAGATGACTGCACTATATAATCAAGCAGTGTTCTTTTATCAAGTCAGGAAAGCCTGGGTAAATATCCAAGGACCTCTCCTAGAGGAAAAAATGCAAAAGCTTTAGGAAAGAACACTATCACCAGTTTTCCCCCCCCCATTGGAATAAAAAGATATTTTAACTAAATATTTCCTAGTTCATGATTTTAATATAGATGTTTGGAACCACTAGAAGTCAGATAACGCTGGGCGTGGTAGCTCACGCCTGTAATCCCAGAACTTTGGGAGGCCAAGGCAGGCAAATCCCTTGAACCTAGGAGTTCAAGACCAACCTGGGCAACATGGTGAAACCCCATCTCTTCAAAAAATACAAAAATTAGCCAGGCATGGTGGCATGTGCTTATAGTCCCAGTTATTCAGGAGGCTGAGGCAGAAGGATTGCTTGAGCCCAGGAGGCGGAATTGCAGTGAGCCAAGATCGTGCCACTGCACTCCAGGCCTGGGTGACAGAGCAAGATCTTGTCTCAAAAATAAATAAATAAATAAATAAATAAATAAATAAAATAAGTAAAGTTAGAAAAGTGTGGGATGCATTTCAGAACATTTTAAATCAAAAACACCTAGAGTTAATTATAGTGCTTTGAAAAGGGAGCATTTATTGTCTGGAAAAAAATTTCTTAAGGGATATAAGACATATATAGGAAAATTTCACCCTATAAATACATAGTGAACACCTCTCGGGCATTCTTCTAGGCACGGGAGAAGAGGACATGATTTTTGATTCCAAGGAATTCCATGGTCTAGTGAAGGAGACAAAAAAGAAAAAAATTATTTTGATAAAAACTGATTAGACCTAATTTAATGCTAGTACAAGTTGAGCATCCCTAACCCCAAAATCGAAAATACAAAATCCAAAATGCTCAAAAATCTGAAACTTCTTGAGTGCCAACATGACACTCAAATGAGATGCTGACTGGGGCATGTCAGATTTTCCAATTACAGATGCTCAGCTGGTCAGTATAATGCAAATATTCCCAAATCCAATAAGAGTTCCAAAACTGCGAAACACTTCTGGCCCCAAACATTTTGGATAAGGGATACTTGGCCTATACAGGGTATTGGGGGAGGGAGTACAGAAGGGAATCATGGGCAAGGAACATGCTACTCAGTGGTGGGTAGGATGTCAGTAAACTCTGAAAAAGAAAAGTGCCTCAACAGCACCTTGGGGTCATTGGTGAGGATACTGGTTGGCAGTGGAATGTCCGAGTCTGTATGGCTGAAGAGCATGGTGCCCATGGGAAGAAGCTGGGACACAGGCTGTGACACCCTATGCTGCGACATGAGTAGTGAGTGACATCAAACGTGAGCAGAATGTGTCTTCCCTCATTTGAACTCATTCACTTTAAACAAAGACCTTGGAAATTAAAGAGTGTAGAAACACCTTAATTTCCTTTTTCTGTGAACAAATTGTTCTGTTTCTCAGAGTGCTTCAGCTGCAAGTCAGTATAACTTGCCAGGTTTGCTTCAATCTTATCTACCTCGTGTTTGTAATTATCAAAGTTAGGAAGTTCACAGGCTTAGGTGGCCACTTACAAACATTTGTTGTGGAGTGAAAATGGCCACAATGTGCAGACTTGTTTCAAGTTGACGCTGTCAGTTTGCCAATGTGGTGAGGGCAGGAGGTGTCTTAAACAATGCCTCATATTCAACACACATGTGGGATTCCCCTTCTGAATTGAAGATGGCTTGCCTCTGAAGACTTCTGGTAAATCACCACGTTCTAGGGACAATGAATGGGGTCATTAAGAAGGCAACTCTTCCTTGCTGGGACACAGGCGGAGGAAGGCTTGCATCCAGGTAGTACTAGAACCCACACTTGGACGGTCTCCTGCAAGGCTCAGATCAAACATCTCTCCAAAGCCTCTGCCTTCTCCAAGCTTGAGAAGCCCCTTTCTCAGGTATTTCAGGTGACATTTTATTCCACTTTGTTGGCGCTCACTGCAGGTATTGTAAAGACTCATGTTCCTGTTTGTTCTCTTACATTGTAAGCTCTGGAGGGCTGGGACCCTATCATGCTCTCCTTGGTAGCCACAGAAGTTGTTCGGTAATTGCTAACTGGAGAGGGGGATGCACACACACCAGGCATTCTTCCAGGGCCGGGAGGAAGGGGCTAACGTTGGTCTGATTAATTTCCCAACATACGCCTTCTAGAAGCAAAAGGAAGCATGGACATGTTTGTGGGCTGGTATGTTTGCTTCTATCTTATTTTACTCTCTGAGGCAAAATAAAAAGGGTAAGATGAACTCAGTTAACTTAATATCACCAATTGCTCACTGGAAGTTGTTTGGAATCCATCGTTTCCGAAAACTCCAAGCACAGCAGGGCGCGAGGTTCCCAGATGGCAAGTGGGCTGTCGGGTCTTCATGGGCAGCGGAAACGGGCAAATTGCATTTTGCACAGTCACATACCTTCTCAGCAGAGCCCAACTATTATTTCCTCACCAGTCAAGTAATGCAGGGTGGGGGATGGGGGGAAAAAAGCTGCCCGGAGCCACGGGGAAGGAAAGGCTGGGCAGGCAGGGCCCAAACTTGCTCATACTTTGTTAGTGCCTTTTCTTCCCTTTTGAATAAAATCTGCATTCCCTTTCTCGGAGAAGGGCAGCCGGGCTCCCCACCTAACACAGCCCTGAATGCAGTGGACTTGGTGCCCCAAAGCCAAGCTCCTCAAGGAAGCTGAACCCAGGCCAGCATCACCACAAGAGGAGAAAGGGAGATTGTCCCCCGCCCAGCGCCAACATTTCATTCTCTTCAGAGGCCTCAAAACCCTAATTTGACCACAAAAACCTGGCCTCTGGTGTTTCTGTTATGAGTATCGGATTCCTTCGGCTGAACTTGGCTGTTCACTGCCTGAACAAATTACATTAACAATACAGAGAAATGTATACAGGGCCTTAAAAACACTGCTGAGCAGGGACCAAAACAAAGACAGCCGTGTCCTAGCAACAAACCTCACCACCCCCCTCACCCCCCCCCACCCCCACCCCAGCAGCCTTGGGCTCTGCCAGGGATTGTAAGCCATTGAGCTCCTCTCTTCTCTGCAAACAATTAGGGACAGAGAAGTCACAATTACAGATGGGATTTACAGCCAAAGGAGCAATCTATAAATCACAGTGCTCCCACCCCCGGCCATTCCCAGCCAGATAATCAGAGCCAGATGTTCGGCACAGCTGCTTCAACGTGGGTACACTGTTGGCCAACTCGACCATGTTCCCGCTCTGAGAACCAGCAAAGGCTCCAGCCAAGCCAACCTGCCAAGCAAGGCGGGGGGCCTCTGCACCCTGGAGCCCACCCAACTGTAGGAAAAGTTGCGTTGTGTGGGAACTGTTTGTTGAAGCCATTGTAGAGGTACATCACTGGCGAGGGTATGTGGCTCCCTGGAGTTCCCTCGAACGCTGCACAATTTCGTGATAGTGGTGACAATGACAATCAGCATCTTTAGCATTTATTGATCACCTGCTACGGACTCACCACTGGGTGGAGCACGTTACAGGTACTCCTTTGCTAAAGAACACTCAAGAGTTCACCCAATTCACAAAGAAACGGAACCTGAGAGAGGGCAACTGTTTTTCAGAAGGTCCCGGTGTTAAAGTGGCAGAACAGCAATTCAAAGCTGGATCTGCTTGACCTTGATGCCCCAGGAATCTCATCTAATTGTAGAGGGATGGACAGACTCTGGTTTCAGGGCACAGGGCTGGAGTTTCCAAATTACTCTCTTGATGGTCAAACTAGGAAGAGACTTGCCATTATTTTACTCTCCATAGCTGGCTGGTGTTTTAAATGTCTGGACTGAACCAAATCAGGTTTTTAGCACCTAGGACCAGGGGACAGCAAACTCCAAATATGGTAAAAGCTAGGTTATTCAAATGTTGCCAAGGTGTTTCTGTTCACAGTCCACCTTTATGCATATTTTTCTTTATTGTTACTTATTCACTGAGATATAGCATATATACAGTAAAATGTACACATCTTTTTTAAAACTCGGGGAGCCCCTGTTACCAGAATAGGTTCAGAGCGATTCCCCACATCTTAAATGTACAGCTCAATTAATACATCTGTATAAACTTGTGTCACCACCACCAGATCAAGATACAGAACATTCCAGAACCATTCTAGAGGTTCTTGCATATCCTGTCCCAGCCAACATTCCTCTGCCCCCAAGGTAACTCCTACTCTAACCTTTATCACCATAGACAGTTTTGTTTTTGAGCCTTATTGTGTCTTGTTTTGAATACACATGTCTTTTGTACAGTTTTGGTTATTCTCAGGGTCAAATCAAGGCTCCCAATTCAAAACTACCAACAACGAAAACTCGAGATAACACAACTAGTCCTATCGGCTGGCACTGGCTTTGGGAGACAATTCCACAACATCCCTAACTCCTCCTCATAGGACCCTGCTCCTGGTGACTAAGACTGCCCCTGCCCTCAAGGGGCAGAAAGGCCCCAGGCCATTTGTCTTCGAGCATCACCCGGTAATCGAATCTGGTAGTAACAAGCTGTGTTTACCCCTCTTGCCACCCGTCATCCTTGACACGCTGACAGCCACCATCTTTCACTCCTCAGGAAGTGCAGCAGGGCATGGAGGATGTGGCTGTGGCTCTTCACGGGAGGGGGAGGATGACACAGGCTGGAATGCCTGGGTTCCCTGACACGGTTCAGGCTGCTGAGCATGGCACTCCCCGATCATCCCTCACACCTCTCACCGCCCCGGAGGTGGCTGAGTCAGGGGCGTTCCGGGGTGAGAATGGCAGCAGGAGCATCCCACTGGGGTGGGAGGAAGCCCCCCATCCATGCACAGTGGGACACCCTCTGGATCCAGCCTTTAATTCAGAAATCTGGACAGAAAGCTATGCAAGATATGGGGGCAGTGGGTTGGAGCTGTGAGACGTTTCAGTCGAAATGACACAAAAAGGCTAGCACATCAGACAGAGATTCTGAGAAGAGAAAACACACTCCTGGGTGCTGGGAGGAGGGGCATGGGCAGAATTTTCTTTTCTTGGCCTTCCCTCCAGAGTTTTGACCTCACCCAAAAGCGCAGTACTGCCCACCTTAGCTCCTTGGCACTGCCACAGTTTCACTTCCCAGGGTGGTTATTTTTAGCTGCCCCAAGCACCTGTTTGTTTCCATGACTGTTGAAAATTCTAAATGTGTTGGCATATTATGACATGGGACACTTCCAAGGGATCTAGTGCCATCAGCCGGAAATGGCAAATCCTTAGGAATTTTCACTCTCATTCAAGTATTTATGGCTGATACATAAATACAGTGACCTTACCTTCCAAATAAAACACTGGGGCATAGGATTCCTCAAAGGCTATTTTTGGGTATTACTTCTAAGTGTGAGACAATCAGAGAGGTGTCATTGGGAGGTGGAAACCATAGAATTATAGGATATTCCTGATTTGTAGGGAATATGTCTCATTACCTATAATAAGAACCACTAGAAAATTCATAACTTAAAATCAGTGTAGACACAGGCTACTCTAGAGTTCTGCATTTCGAAGTTTAATACAGTTCCTTGTCATGGCTGCTCCCACCCAAAAAGGAGCTGGGGTCCATTCATGCACCTGGCCCCCAAACCCTCCCCCCACCCCAGCCACAGGGAAACTGGAGGTTTCTCCTGCCCATCTTTGTGCTCCCCTTCAAGGCGTTTTCTGGGCCTCCCTTGGGTCACCAGTCCAGTCTTGCACAACCCCTTCTCACCCCACCCCACACCTCACCCACTTCCAGGACTCCACCAGACAGATTTTCTAGATTCTCTTCTGCTGAGGGACAAGGTTTTGTCACATTCGAGTCCCAGGGGACATCTTAGGGCCATTCCACTTCCCAATCCCGTAATGACACAGAAGGGTCCTCTGACCCTCCCCATGTCTCTGTTTGGACCCCACAGTGACCTTGCCCACAGCCTGCTCAGCGGGTTCGTCTCACCGTCCTGAAGAAGGCTGTGCATGCTCAACCTGGGGGTGATGACATCCTTCCTCAGGGGTCCAAGATACTGACGTGCACCAAGACCCAAACCCATTTGCAACTCACACAGAAACAAAAGAAAACTCATCAGTCATAAAAGGACCCTGCTGACAGCCACTTGACACGGTGCACACTTTCCACCTCTGCGCTTTTACTCTTGCTGTCCCCCTGCCTAGCATGGCTCTTCCCTCTCGC
This sequence comes from Homo sapiens, assembly GCF_000001405.40. Lineage (NCBI taxonomy): Eukaryota > Metazoa > Chordata > Mammalia > Primates > Hominidae > Homo > Homo sapiens. Next base: position 138,765 of record NW_025791763.1, on the reverse strand, counting down.
AGTTCAGGCCCAATTCAAAAGACAGGTCCTCTAAAAAGTCCATCAATCCCCAGGCTGTGATGAGTTTTCCTTCTTCCGACCCACAGAGCAAGCACATGAATGCTTCCCAGGGTTGGGCATAGAGGAGTCAAGATAATAACAGCAGCCACAATAATAATTATCAGGTGCTTCTGGGCTTTTACACAGACTGAAGCTCAGCAAATCCCCACAACAAGATCAGGACGCAGGTACTGCCACTGCCCAGATGTACAGAAGAGGTCAGGTAACCTGCTTGAGGTCATGCCAGCTGGTAAGTGGTGGGTCCAGGGTTTGAACCCAGCCCCACTCAGCCCAGACACACCACAGAGCTCTGCAGGAGGGGTGGCCACAGCCCATCTGGGGGCTGCTGACTGTTACCGTGTAGGAATTTGAGCCCATTCTTGCCATACCTCCTGATTTTTTGAGACAGGCTAGAAGTCTGGAATTTTTTTTTTTTTTTTTTTTTTTTTTTGAGATGGAGTCTTGCTCTGTCGCCCAGGCTGGAGTGCAGCGGCGTGATCTCAGCTCACTGCAACCTCTGCCTCCCAGGTTCAAGCGATTCTCCTGCCTCAGCATCCCGAGTAGCTGGGATTACAGGCGCGTGCCACCACATCCGACTGATTTTTGTATTTTTACTAGAGATGGGGTTTCATCATGTTGGCCAGGCTGGTCTTGAATTCCTGACCTCAGGTGACCCACCCGCCTCGGCCTCCCAGAGTGCTGGGATTACAGGCATGAGCTACCATTCCTGGCCGAAAGTCTGGATTTTTACATGCCTTTTTTAACTTTGTAAAATCACTGTTCCTGCCCCAAATCACAGCTACAAGGGATGTGGGCCCACGGGCATAGGTCATGCCTGCTCTAAAGACCAGACCAGGCACTGCCATGTGGGGTCTCCCCTGCTGTGGCCTGGAATTATGATTTCTATGTCTGTGGTTTCAGAAACTCTTCTTGCCTAAATTATAAGCTAGGTGAGGGCAGGGAGCAGGTCCTATAATGCATCGTTTTATGAAATCCCACATAGCTGTTGCCCCTCCTGGAAGGCACAGGGATAGACTTACCTTCATGGAGATCCCACTACGAGCCAGCACTGGATGAGACCCTTCCCATGTGTTGTCTCATTTAATCCTCATAATGACCTGTTGAGGTTGGTAATACTGACCCAGCTCTTTCTTTTTAAACCAGTGAAGATCTAAAGATCAGAGAGGTTAAGTCTCTGACCGAAAGTCACAGACATCAGGGGCAGTGCTGTGCACACACCTTTCAACTCAGAGAACTGATGTACATATTGTTGATAGTCTCCATCGTGGTGGTTCCAGACAATTCCTAAATTTATTAATAAGGAGGAGTTTATGTTTGGCAGGATCTCACCAGAGACATGCCTATCTCTCAGTAAATAAGAAAGCAATTGGATCCCTGGATACCTAAATTCTCAGAGCTCTCAGGCCACTGTTTGTCTTGAAGACAGAAAACTGCCCTAGAGATGAAAGCTATTCAACAATGCGTACTGAATCTCTACTGTGTGGCCTATTTTATGAGTGCAGAAGTCAAGGTGCCTCTGGGAGATAGACCCATCTTGCTGTGTGACGGGAGGCAGTGCAGAGTGGGTGGTGCCTCGCGCAGGTTCCTGGGCTCTGCCACTTGTTAGCTATGTGACCCTTAGGCAGGTTGCTGCGATTCTCCACACTTCATTTTCCCTCCCTGCATGTGGAGGTAATGAGATGATGCTGACCGAAATCGCCACCTCACAGGGCTGTTGTGAGGATTAAATTAGTTAACATACATGTTTAGAATGATGCCTGGCACATGGCAAGTACTCCGGAAATGACCATGTTATTATTTAGAACACTAAGTCGCTATTCCCTTGCCACGCCCCATGGAAGAAAGAGGCCCTAACAGACAAGGACAAAGGGCTGGGAACAACCTGGATGAACCCAGCCCTCCCTCCGCACTGTTGTCTGAAACTTCCTTCAATGGCCTGGTGAAACCTCTTCCTCCCCTGGACAAATCTTGGCTATGGTGTTTTCACTTGACTCTCTTGGGTTTTCCAGGTAGACAATCTGCAAACTGTGATAGTTTTACCTGTTCTTTTCCAACCTTTGCTGTCTTGGCTACTGTGCCAATGCAAAACCCCTGTCCTCCTCTCCTAGCCCTTCACACTTGTCTACCTAGCACCAACCCTATGGCACTAGTGGAGATGCCTGCCAAGGGGAGAAACTACAGGGCTCCAGCCAGGGGCCATAGCTGTGCTGGGCCCTCAGCCTCCCCAGCAGGGCAGAAGGTAGAATGAAGATGGGGATGCCCATGTGTGTGGGGAAGGGGCCAGGCAGGAGCGAGGCCTCTCAGAGGAGGCAAGGGGAAAGGCACAGCTGGGTTACTATAAGGAGCCAGTTAATGGTAACATGGCTGGGAGTGTTCCCCATGGGGCCTCACCCAGGGCTGGTCTCAAGAAATACTGCTGAATCAACACTGACCTGTGAAGACTATATCCAGTTCATCATGGGCACAGCCTAGGTGGGGCCCTTCTGAATTCTCCCCTTTGCCAGGATTCTAAGAATATGGAGATCCAATTGCCTTAGAGTTTACCAAGAGACACCCATGTCTCAAACAGAGATCCCTGCTAAAAAATGAAAACAGTTTCCTAATTCATTAATATTCTAACTGATTTCCCTGTCTGGAACCACCCCAGATCTGCTAAATTAGACTCCCTGGGAAAGGGCTATAGGATACATTTTTAGAGGAAATAAATCACCTCATAATCAGGAAATGCAATAGCTGCCTCGGTGGGTTTCTGTGCAAAGGTGTCGCTCCCCATTGCCTGGGTGTATGTGCCTGTCACCCCTGGGAGACAGCCCCTTAATTCCAGTGCTGCACCTTCTGCGCTTTGGAATGGGCCCAGGAGTCTGCATTTCGACAAGCACCTGTGATGATTCTGAAGCAGGGGTCTGTGGACCACACTCTGAGAATTACTGCCCTGGCATTTTCCAGGTTTGAAGTTCCTGAGCATCCTCTGTGTAGTTTCCCAATCTCTCTTCTCACCCAAGATGCTCCTTAGGGCATTGAGGTTTCAAACAGTGCCTTTTCAGAGCATAAGCAACGGGCAGACCACAGGAAAAGCAGCAGGATTCCCAGCAAGTACTGGCACTGCCACTGAAACACCTAGTTTGGAAAGGGCTGCAGAATGGTCAGCTAAGCCTTTCCATCTCATGCATGTACCCGAATAGGACAAGTGCCACCACCTCACATATAACTGTGTCCACAGTTGCAGGCAAAGGAAGGTGAACAGGTCACTCAGGCCTCCACACCTTTGTGATCCCTCCATTGGAGACAGCAATCACTTTCCTCTTTGGGCTACTGCTTAGAGATATACTGCCTTATTCGCTCTCTAGCCTAACTTAACGAAGGCCAGCTGGTTCTAAGGGCCTTCCTGGCAATCGGAAACAGCTTGCCTGCTACCTGAACTGGATATGTAACATTCGTCTGTCCCACTCGGAGGAAACGCTTACAACCAGACCACCCTGTTTTAATGTGGCGCCTTTCAGATTAAGAGAAATATTTGACCCCGTTATTCTATGACTCCTGTAAAATCCTACAACAGATGCAGAGAAAAATGTAAAGAAATCAATGACATACAAATGAGGCTGAACCTGCCAAGCCCAGAATGTTTTGTAAAGTAATCTTGTTCTTATTAACTTCATATTGTCTCTCAACAGGAGAAGTAAAAAAATTCACATTTTCAATGATCTATTACTTCCTCAAGATAATAAAAAGTAAATTGAAGATATAAAAAATGTGGCCCATAAATATCTTTTTCCCACCCTGGAATTGTCCCTTCCACAAAAAGAGGCAGCTCCCATTTCCATCCTTCCAGAGGCCCTCTTCCACTAAACCTGGTGTATTTAGCTTTAGATGTGTGGCAAAAACTAAAACTGCACCATGAGACAAGATAGACACACAGATAGAATTCACTCTGAAAACATGGAATGGTGAGAATTTAGCCATGAACTGGATACGGTTCATCCCTTCACTTCCTTCGGGTCTCTGCTTATATATCACCTTCTCCATGCGGTGACACACACGGACAACAACATCCCCACCTCTTCTCTCTACCTGCCTTACTCTGCTTTATCTGCTCTATTTGCTCATAGTGCCCTTTCCCACCTGACACGCTGTATACGTATGTCTCTCTCTCCTGCCAGAAGGTGACTTGAGAGGTGACATCTGATTCACTGCAACAGGCCAGTACTAGAAAGTACCCCATACTCAAGTACAGATGTTCCTCCACTTACAACGGGGTTATATCCTGATAAACCCATTGTAGGCTGAAAATATACTAAGTCAAAAATGCATTTAATAGGCCAGGTGTGGTGGCTCACACTTGTAATCCCAGCACTTTGGGAGGCCGAGGCTGGTGGATCACAAGGTCAGGAGATCGAGACCATCCTGGCTAACACGGTGAAACCCTGTCTCTACTAAAAACACAAAAAATTGGCCATGTGTGGTGGCGGGCGCCTGTAGTCCCAGCTACTCAGGAGGCTGAGGCAGGAGAATGGCGTGAACCCGGGAGGCAGAGCTTGCAGTGGGCCGAGATGGCGCCACTGAACTCCAGCCTGGGCGACAGAGCAAGACTCTGTCCCCGCCCCCCAAAAAAAATGCATTTAATAGACGTAATCTACTGAACATCAATGCTTAGCCTAGCCTACCTTACACTCAGAATACTTACATTAGCCTACAGTTGGGCAAAAACACCTAACGCAAAGCCTTTTTAATAACAGTGTTGAATATCTAATGTAATCTGTTGAATACAGCACTGAAGTACGGTTTCTACTGAACGTGTATCACTTTTGCACCACCATAAAATCAAAAAATTGTTCAGTCAAACCATCATAAGTTAGGGGCCATCTCTGCTTGGTGAAAGAACTATTCCAGCTGTCCATCCATCCACCCACCTACCCTTTCACGTTCCATCTACCCACCCTTTAGTAAAAGCTAATGATGAGTGAGGCACCATGATGACCATTTTATAAATGGGTGAAGAGAACAGACACAGTATTTGCTCTTGGAGGGATAGCTAGCCGGCAGCTGTGTGTACAAAAAAATACAAAGCTATGTTTCAGATAAGTGCCAAGGGTGCTGTGAGAAAGGAAAAAGGAGGAACCTGTGTATGATTAGGGAATCAGGGATGTGCAGAGCACACAGGACGTGGGCAGGTGCAGTGGACGGAGCTTGGTGGTTGTGACTGAGGGACAAAGTGGTGTGAAAGACAACAAGGGTCAGGCCACACCTGCCAGCAACCACTGCTTTGTGTGCATGGTAGGTCACAGGCAGTAACTTGGAAGTGAATTCATCAGTGACATGCAAGTATTAACTTTATTTACAAGATTTATAGAAGGGATGAACAAACTTAAAATGTTTGCCCCTACACTGATTATAAAAGAGTACTAAAATCAATTATGAAAATGTGGGTTTAAATTCCTATTTGTTCTGCATCAGTGAAGATGCTTCTTGAGTGTCTGAGAAAAATCTTGGTATGAGGAGTAAACATAGCTAACACATTTTGGGTGACAGAATACCACGCACGCGCCTTAACACTGTTGTTCTGAATGACATTTCTGACCAGAGAGTGGTGTCAACATTCACATTCAGGAGAATGATTTAATGTGTATTGTCCTAAAAACAAATCCTTAAAAGATTGGATTATCTTTTTTTCCTAGAGTAAAATATCTCCTAAGACGTTTGTTTCCTGGGATTAATTTTCTCCTAAAATTATAGTATGTGCAACACTTTTGATTAAATGAGGCTCTCTTTATTGAACTAGAAACTCTTTGAAGGGAGGCATTATCTCTGGACTTCCAGCACTAGGATCAGTGCCTGGCCCACAGGAGATCCCTCAAATATGTTGGATGAGATGAAAGGGTCCCAGTAGTCAAGATTTTGCTGAGTCTGGATTAGCACAAACCCCACTCTCAATATAGTGTCGGCCACATGCTAGCTGTGAGATTACAGGTGATGGGATGGACTTTTTGGGAAATTAAATGAAATCATGACTTACAAAGAGTACCCATCCCAGAGCCTGGGACTTGGCAGTCAATGAATTAGTGGCAGAGATTACTGTTTTGTATTCAAGAAGAACCATGATTGTTCATGCAGCTTTTACACTACCACCTTAACTGCCTTCTATCAGAATCTTACCTTGGCATAAAACCACTAACCCAGTGACACATTTTGTGGTCAAACAGCCCCACAGAGTGACTGCAGAGCGTCTCTGGTCAAGAGCCAACACACAAGATGGCCACCAACAAGGCAAGGTCAGTGGTGTGTGGGTGGAAGAATTGCCACTGACTTCCCACCAAGGTGGACTCAGTACCAATGGGCAAATCACAGGCTCTGTTCTTGAGCCACGTGTGCTCATTTCTCATCATGGCCACTGGCCCTAGCCCCTGCAGACAGGGTACAGGAGCCCAACAAGAGGGAGTTAATAGCCCCAGCTAACAGGTACCTTCACTTGGAACTTTGTCAGCAATAAAGGTATGCTGTGAATTACAGAATGGACTGCCAATCTGTTCTTGGTGACAGGGCTCTGAAGAAAGCATCCAAGTGGATGGCAGTCCTTATCAATGAATTATCCATCTCCAGGATCCAACTAAAGTGGTAACATTCAATTTTTCCATCAAGTCCACTGTTTTAAAGAAGCACAGGTGTGGAGAAAACTGCTTGAGCAGCTAGAATAAAGAATATGGAGGCTGGGTGCAGCGGCTCACGCCTGTAATCCCAACACTTTGGGAGGCCAAGGCAGGTAGATCACTTGAGGTCAGGAGTTCGAAACCAGCCTGGCCTACATGGTGAAACCCCTTCTCTACTAAAAAAAAATACAAAAATTAGCAGGCTTGTAATCCAAGCTACTTGGGAGGCTGAGGTGGGAGGATCGCTTGAACCTGGGAGGCAGAGGCTGCAGCGAGCCAAGATTACACCACTGTACTCCAGACTGGGTAACAGAGACTCTGTATTGAAAAAAAAAAAAAAACAATGTGGGCTGACAAGCATTTCTGCTTGCTGCCCCGGAAGTCTTCTATGAACAGGCCGGGAGTGTAGATGCACACAACAATCTATCTGCACATGAGTCCATCATTTCAAGATACAGGCTTTAGTTGACAATTGGCCATACAGAAGTATGGTATTGCTACAGCCGGAAGACAAAGGCTTTTAATATACAGTTCACTCACGACCTTCAACTCTAGGCCTGCTCAGCACTGAGAGAGAAAATGCAACGTAAATTATGCTGCAAGAGGGCTTTATTTTTCTTTTAAAAAATATCTTTATTCTTTTTCAAGTTCCAAAAGCAATATACATTTATTATTTTAAAACAACTTGAAACTAAAATTGTATTATTTTAAAACAACTTGAAACTAGAATTTCAATTTAGAAAATAAAAATTCTAACCAGAAAAAATTCTAACTAATCCTCCTAATTCTCCTAATCTCATTCCACTTCTAGGTAGTTTTCCCTTTTCTATCTCTAAATATGTTGTTTAAAATATGAAACGCTTCACAAATGTGTGCATCATTCTTGCACAGGAGCCATGCTACTCTTCTCTGTACTGTTCCAATTTTAGTTTATGTGCTGTCAAAGAGAGCCCCAGGTAGTTTTCTGTGTATAGACTAAAGAAAAAAAACAAACAAAACTAAGTAATACCTTCTACAAGTATTTTCTCTGCTTATTAAAAAAAAAAATTTAAATGAGGTATAATTTCTGCCCATTGGATTAATTTAAATTTTTAAAAAGTTGGCAAGGGTATCACTCCCATACTATTCATTACAGTGTAATTTCACAAAGCCTTTTTTTGGATGGTATTTTGGCAGAATTTATTAAAATTTAAAATGCTAGCTGGGCGTGGTGCACGTGCCTACAGTTCCAACTACTTGGTAGGCTGAAGTGGGAGGTTTGCTTAAGCCCAGGAGTTCAAGTCCAGCCTGGGCAACATAGTAAGACCCCGCCTCTACAAAATAAAATAAAATAAAATGCACAAATACTATCAGACCCAGTAAATCTACTACTAGCAATCTATGCTGGAGAAAGACTAGTTTGGGCACACAAAGGTGTGTTCAAGTATGTTCTTTTTTTCTTCTTAACATGCCTACCAACATGGGAATGCTTACAAGGTACATCTCTACTATGGAATACCACACAGTGGCTAATTAGAATGAGGTAAGCGCGTATGTACTGACATCGAAAGGTCTCTGAGATACCCTATTAAGTGGGGGGGGGGGGGGAAGCAAGTTATCAAATAGAAATAACAGAATCCTCTTTGTGTTAAAAAATCCACAAAATAATACATAGTAGTTGTATATGTATATATTCAAACCAGCCAGGAAGAACACACACCAAATAGCAGTGAGTGAAGTGGAGCTAGGCAGAGAGGGGAAAAGAAAATCAAGGAAGAATTTCATTTTACTTGTACTGTTTGATTTTTTTTACCTCCATTAGCAAGCATCTCTTTATTAAATATAAAAAGAATAATGAAATAAATCTTTCATTCAGTTGATATATTTGAGTGTGGCATGAGGTAGGGATCTAACTCCCCCTTCCAAACCGCCCCTCCCTGTATAGTTTGAGTCGTTTAGGAGATTTCCCTTGCGTTCTTTTCATCTATTATCACATCATTATCACTTGCTGTGGCTTTTATAGGATGCTTCAACATCGTTTTCAATACTGTTAAAGGTATCTTTTAAGTTTTTTAAACTTCTTTTTAATCTATTTAGAATTTATTTTCTTCCCTTCTTCCCTTCCTTCCTTTTCTTTCTTTCTTTCCTTTTTTTTTCTTTTTTCTTTTTTTGAGATAGGGTCTCACTCTGTCACCCAGGCTGGAGTGCAGTGGTGTGAACATGGCTCACTGCAGCCTCGACCTCCTGGGCTCAAGTGATCCTCCCACCTCAGCCTCCTGAGTAGCTGTGACTACAGGCACACACCACCACGCCTGGCTAATTTAAAATTTTTTTTTGTAGAGACAGGGTCTTGCTATGTTGCTCAGGCTGGTCTTGAACTCCTGGCCTTAAGTGATCCTTCCATCTTGGCCTCCCAAAGTGCTGGAATTACAGGCGTGAGCCACCATGTCTGATTGGAATATATTTTCTTCTATGGTATACATTTTCCATTTAGCTGAGTCTGATGTATCCATAATCTGAACATGCATTTCAACTAATCTTGGTTATCTACCAAAGAATTAAGATCTTTAAAAATATGACAGTGAGTTTGGCAACTCACCTGTGACAGAGCCATGCAATGTTCTGGTCATGTTCTGGTGTTAAGATACACATAATACCTCAGAAATAAGTTATAGCTTCCCAATGTTAGAAATGCTATTAAAATTGACTGAACAGAGAAACTATGGAGAATACACTTTAACCTTTCATAAGAGTTAGGAGGTACTGGGCGGGCGCGGTGGCTCATGCCTGTAATCCCAGTACTTTGAGAGGCCAAGGCGGGCGGATCACGAGGTCAGGAGATCAAGACCATCCTGGCTAACATGGTGAAACCCCGTCTCTACCAAAAAAATACAAAAAATTAGCCGGGCGTGGTGGCGGGTGCCTGTAGTCCCAGCTACTTGGGAGGCTGAGGCAGGAGAATGGCGTGAACCCAGGAGGTGGAGCTTGCAGTGAGCCTAGATGGCACCACTGCACTCCAGCCTGGGCGAAAGAGCGAGACTCTGTCTCAAAAAAAAAGAAAAAGAGTTCGGAGGTACTTTAGGTTCAAATAGGCCTTTAGAGTCAGTGTTTATCTCTCAATTGAACCTCACAGTACCTTACGTGCCTCACCATTACAATAAGGGACTAGAGCTCCCAAGCCCCGTGGCCTGCTCTAATATTCTAATATGATCAACTTATCTTGCACAGAATGAAGCTGTACTCCTACCTTTTTGGAGTGATAAAATCTGCCTAACACTGTATGTAAAAATTAACTCAGAATTGATCAAAGACCTCTAAGAACTGAAATTATAAATATCTTAGAATAAATTAAAGACATATTTTTTATGACCTAGGACTAGGCAGTGGTTGCTTAGATATGACACCTAAAGCACAAATGATAACAGAAAATATAGCTAAATTAGACTTCATCAAAATTAAAAACTTTTGTGCTTCAAAGAATACTACAAAGAAAGTGAAAAGACAACCCACAGAATGAGAGAAAATATTTGCAAATAATGTATTTAATAAGGATCTAGTACCCAGAATACATAAAGAAAGAGCTCTTGCAACTCAACAATAAAAAGACAAATAACTCAATTTTAAAAGGTCAAAAGAGCCCGGGCATGGTGGCTCATGCCTGTAATCCCAGCACTTTGGGGGGTCCAAGGCAGGCAGATCACTTGAGGTCAGGATTAGAGACCAGCCTGGCCAACACGGTGAAACCCCATCTCTACTAAAAATACAAAACATTAACTGGGCATGGTGACATGTGCCTGTAGTCCCAGCTACTCAGAAGGCTAAGGCAGGAGAATCACTTGAATTTGCAAGGTGGAGGTTACAGTGAGCTGAGATCGCACCACTGCACTTCAGCCTGGGTGACAGTGAGACTCCATCTCAAAAAAATAAAATAAAATAAATAAATAAATAAATAAATAAATAAAAAGTCAAAAGACTTGAATAGACATTTCTCCAGAGAAGACTTAACAATGGCCAATAAATACATTAAAGGGTACCCAACTTCATTAGCCATCAGGAAAAGGTAAACCAAACTACAATGACATACCACTTCACATCCATTAGGATAGCTATAGTCAAAAGGACAGAAAATAATGCCAAGTGTTGATGAGGATGTAGAGAAACCGGAACCCTCATACACTGCTGATGGCAATGTAAAATGGTGTAGCCATTTTGGAAAACAGGCTGGCGGCTCCTCAAATGGTTAAACATAAAGTGACCACGCAACCCAGCAATTCCACTCCTAGATATACAGTTGACCCTTGAACAAAACAGGTTTGAACTTTGTAGATCCACTTACATGTGAATTTATTTCAATAAATATATTGGAACATTTTTTGGAGATTTGTGACAATTTGGAAAAACTTGTAAACTATGTAGCCTAGAAATGCTGAAAAAATTAAGAAAAAGGTATGTCATGAATGCATCAAATCTACGTAGATACTAGTCTATTTTATCATTTACTACCACAAATATCCATAAATCTATCATAAAACATTAAAATTTATCAAAACTTTTGCACACACAGACTGTACATGGCACCATTTATAGTCAGAGAAATGTAAACAAACATAAAGATGCAATATAATCACTGCATAAAATTAAATACAGTGCATACTGTATGACTGTAATAATTTTTTTGTTTTTGTTTTTGTTTTCTTGAGACGAAGTCTCTCTCTGTAGCCCAGGCTAGAGTGCAGTAGTGTGATCTTGGCTCACTGCAACCTCCGCCTCCCAGGTTCAAGCGAATTCTTGTGCCTCGGCCTCCTGAGTAGCTGGAATTACAGGCGCACACCACTGCACCAGCTAATTTTTTATATTTTTTAGTAGAGACAGGGTTTCACCATGTTGGCCAGGCTAGACTTGAACTCCCGACCTCAGGTAATCCACCCACCTCGGCCTCCCAAAATGCTAGGATTACAGACGTGAGCCACCGTGCCTGGCCACTATTGTAATAATTTCACAGCCACCTCCTGTTGCTATTGCCGTGAACTCAAGTGTCGCAGGTAACTCAAGTGTCGCAGGTAACTCAAGTGTCGCAGGTATCCAACAGCTAGATGCTAGTGATCTCTATGTGAGCTGCTCATCTCTCCAGTAAACTGCTTATTCCAGTAAAAAGTGATCTCTTGCGGTTCTCATGTAGTTTTCATCGTGTTTAGTGCAATACCATAAACCCTGAATAATACCATGAGCCCCATATGAAGTGCCACTAGTGATGCTGAAAGTGCTCCCAAGAAAAGAGAAGAGTCATGACATTACAGGAAAAAGTTGAATTGCTTGATATGTACCAGAAATTGAGGTCTGCAGCTGTGTAGTTGCCTGTCATTTCAGACAAACAATTCCTCTTGTAGACAGACAATGTAAACTTATGGTATTAATACAGTATTTTCTCTTCCTTATGGTTTTCATAATAACATTTCCTTTTCTTTAGCTTACTTTATTGTAAGAATACAGTATATAATACATATAGCCTACAAAATAAGTTGTTAATCGAGAGTAGGCTATTAGTAGTTAAGTTTTGTGGAGCCAAAAGTTATACATGGATTTTCGACTGCATGAGGGGTTGGCGTCCTAACCCCTGCATAGTTCAAAGGTCAACTGTATACCCAATATAACTGAAACCATATGTCCTTACAAAAACCTGTACAAGAATGCTCACAGCAGCACTGTCCACAATAGCCAAAAAGTGGAAACAACCCCAACGTCCACCAATGGATGAATCGACAAACAAAATGTGGGATATCCACACGATGGGATATTATCCAAAAATAAAATGGAATGAAGTACAGATACACGCTACAATATAGGTGAACCCTGAAAGCATTAGACTAAGTGAAAAAAGCTGGACATAAAAGGCCACATGTTGTATGACTCCATCTGACGAAATGCCTAGAATGGGCAACTCCATGGAGACAGAAAGTAGAGGAGTGGTTGTCAGGAGATAAAGGAGAGTGACTGCTAACAGCTAAGGGTTTTTTCTGGAATTAGAGAGTGGTGATGGTTGCACAACTCCGTGAGTATACTAAAGCCACTGAACTGCATACTTTAATAAGAGGATGAATTTCATGGTATGTGATTTATATCTCAATAAAATAAATAAATAAGATATATTTTTCAGCTATTAGAGAAATAAAAAAATTATCTTGTATAATATTTCTGGAAATAAATCTGAATCTTTATATCCAACTGGCATACCCCAACAATGACTCCCAACCCTGGCAGCCCATTAGAATCACTCGGGGAGCTTTTAAAGACATACAGACGCTTGGACCTCCTTCCTAGAGATTATGATTTAATTGGTCTGGGGTGGAGTTTGGGGACTGGTGTTTTCAAAAGCTCCCCAGTTGACTCTAATGTGCAGCCTGAGTTGAGAACCACTGCCCTAGAATTTGAGCTTTTAAAAGAGTCCCTGGTGTTGGTTTAGATATCTGTTATTTTATCCTTTCTCATAAACATGAGACAAACAAAATTTTAAATGGCTCACGGTTTCTGGCTGTTAGAACTCAGTAGAACTGGGATTTTATTTTATTGTCTCTTCCACATTTTTTTTAAGATCAGCAGATTGCCATTTTATAGACAGAGAATCTTAAATGCAAAATGGCTAAGAGACATACTGAGATCACCATTGTGAGCTGGGCAGGGACTGAATTACAGTTTCTTCCTTGGGAAGGAAACTGAGTTCTTTTTCTAGTTACTCCAGCCTGAACCATCATGGACATTAGGGACACCCTCTCAGCACAGGTGGTAGGACAGGCAGCATCTTGGCACTGGCAGAGACAGAAAGCCTGGGTGGAGCCTCACAGTCTGGGAAAACTATAAACTCTCAAGTCCACCTTCAGATTTGATGAAATGGAGCCTCCTCCTACCCCCACAAAAAACCTTTTTTCTTTACAGGGCTGGGAAGATGAGGTTTACATCACCTACTTATCTCTGGGAAGCCATCCCAAAGTGCTCACTTATTTAGATCACTACTGGTCTCATTTTCTTTTTTCTTTTTATTTTGGAGAAAGGGTCTCATTCTGTCACCCAGGCTAGAGTGTAGTGTCACAAACACAGCTTACTGCAGCCTCAACCTCTTGGGCTCATGCGATCTTCCTGCCACAGCCTCCAGAGTAGCTAGGACCACAGGCGTGTGCCACCACACCCAGCTAATTTTTTGTAGAGACGGGATCTCACTTTGTTGCCCAGGCTTGTCTCAAACCCCTGGGCTCATTTTTATTACTTTCCCCAAAGCTGCCGAAGTTGGTCAGTTGGGTCTGCATTAGGCTCCCCATTCATTCTGGAGCCCCAAAGCCACTTCTAAATGGCAAAGTCATGGCCAGCGAGGGCTGCTCATTTGTTTAGCTTTGGGAGTCTGTCTGGGCCTGAAACCAGCCCCTGCCTGTGGAAAATGCTCAGAACAGAGGACACTCCAGGCCTCTGAGACCAGAAGTGAGGGAGCCACGGACACCTCTCCCTGAGCTCCGGCTCTGCACCCCCTTCCCTACTTGCCAGCTCAAGGAGTGCACATGAGATGGTGGTGTTTGGGCTCTAATTGTGTTGAGTAATTGCTCAATGATTTTCTATGTAGTTCCCTGGCTCCCCTATCCCACTTTCTCACTCAGCTGTTTTATAAACTGAATTCTAATCTGGGTTTCTTCACAATGTCGCCTTTTACTAAAAGCTAATAAAACCCCAAATGGGAAATTCAGAAGTCGCAGCAATACCACATGACTGTAACTGAAGGTTGTTGGTCAACTTGATTTGGTTTTCAAGCTTGTAGACCATCTGAGGACTTCAGTCTCCCACCCAACTTTGTAGCAATAAAGGTCTTTGTCTTCCCTTGCACTGAACGTGAGTCCTGAACCTTTCTGAGGAGTCCTGCAGACAGCCTCACATGGCCCAGACAGCCCACTGGACCCCTCCTCTGCCACCTCTACTTCCTCACTCAGGCACCCAACACTGCTCACTGAAGTAAGTTACCCCTATGAGGCCACAGGCAGACTCTCTTCTAGAACCCTGCTTTGCACCTGCCACCTGGCCAGCTGAGCCCAACCCTGGCCACTCTGCACAACCAGGAGGCTGCTCAAACTCTCAGCAGAGGAAACATTTTCAGTAACGAGCAAAATCTCAAATCTCCAACACAAAAATCAGATGAATCTGTAAGAAGAACAAAGGTGTTTTGCTGCATCCTAAAAGGCAGGGTGACGATTGACAGTTGTCTTATATCAGCCACATCAGCTAATATTTTATTTTTGAATTTTGTTTTGATTGCAGAGAACCAAAAAAAAATCTTAATTTCCACAGATAAGTGGTAGCAAATGCTAATTAATGGACTTTTAGTAGACTGCCTTTTGATCCTAGGATAGCCTTTAGTCGCATCAGTGTTTGTTGGTGTTTCTTTCATCACTGTCCCACAAGGAGCCTTAGCAGACATTCTGCCTATTTGTGCCACCCCACTCCCGAAATATATATATATTTTTTGAGACAGAGTTTCGCTCTTGTTGCCCAGGCTAGAGTGCAGTGGTGCACTGTAACCTCTGCCTCCCGGGTTCAAGCGATTCTCCTGCCTCAGCCTCCCAAATAGCTGGGATTACAGGCGTTTGCCACCGCACCTGGCTAATTTTTGTATTTTTAGTACAGACTGGGTTTCACCGTGTCGGCCAGGCTGGTCTCGAACTCCTGACCTCAGGTGATCTACCTTCCTCGGCCCTGCAAAGTGCTCGGATTAATACATATTAATACATATACAATCACATACTGTTTTAGTAACACAAAGGAAAAAGAAGAGGAGGACTTACTTAGGCTGGGGGTGGTAAGTGGAAACTGTCCAAGTGAGAAGTGAGGTAACACCAACCTAGGCAGAGAAACCTGCACGCAAGGCCCTGAAACCGTGGAGTTTGGATGGCCTGCGGCAGGTTGGTGTGGCTGGGGAGTGCCGGGGGCTGAGGAAGAGGCTTGCTCCTCCTCCCCATCCAGGCAAGCAGCAGCAGTCACTGCAGTCAGGGGAAGGGGTTGGGCAGTGGGAATGCCTCACTTACTGGGTGACATAAAGCAAGGCAGGAATGCTTTCTCAGGCTTGGTTTCCCATGTATAAATTCAGAAAAACATCACCTACCCAATATAGAGGTGATTATTAAATGCACTATCCTCTAGAAGCTGTGGTTATTAACCTTGACTACACATTGGAATCACCTGGAACCTTATAAAGTCCGGGCTGGGTGTGGTGGCTTGCACCTGTAATCCCAGCACTTTAGGAGGTCAAGGTGGGAGCATCACTTGGGGTCAAACGTTTAATACCAGCCTGGGCAACATAGTGAGACCCTGTCTCTTAAAAAAAAAAAAAATAGTCCTGATGGCTGGGACCTACCACCAGGCCCGGCCTGGACATTCCAAATCATCCAAGCTCCCCAGGTAATTCCAATGTGCTGCTGGGCTGAGAATCACTGCTGCACAGCACCTGGCACAGGTAAATGTGCAGAATAACATGTGCTGGGTGCAGTGGCCTGCGCCTATAGTCCTAGCTACTCAGGATGTTGAGGTGGGAGGATCCCTTGAGCCCAGGAGTTTGAGTCCAGCCTAAGCAATATAGCGAAGTTTGTCTTTAAGAGAAGAAGAATGACATCGTTTATGTGGGCACAAAAGGCTCAAATGAATCATAAACTATTCAGGGATACACTTGCCCCTGGCATCTGAACTCCTGTCCCGAGTTTAGGAATCCCTGCTTCTCGTATGAGTCCTGGCAGGACGCAGGGTTCACCTCCCACTCTGGAAGCTGGAAATGCCAGCAACATCAACAGCACAGTGTCCTCACCACTCTGGTTTTGTGACTATTGTGGGTGCAGACTGGGCTGCTGCCTGGTCTCCATGGTTTGAGTCCACAGCCATCCCAGCAAGACTGGGAACCACCCCAATGTCCTTTAAAGAAATCCTTTTTCTGATCTCAGTCAGCTGATACCTACTGCTCAAAACTAAGAATGCTACTGATAAAAATATTCAGAGTAGGACTCTTTTTATGGTTTTTAAGAAAGAAAATAGGGCCAGGTATGGTGGCTCACACCTGTAATCCCAGCACTTTGGGAGGCCGAGGCAGGAGGATGGCTTGAGCCCAGGATTATGAGACCAGTCTGGGCAACATGGCGAGACCCCATCTCTACAAAAAATACAAAAATTGGCCGGGGGTGGTGGCGTGCCCCTCTAGTCCCAGCTACTCGGGAGGCTGCAGTGAGAGGATCTCCTGAGCCTGGGAGGTTGAGGCTGCAGTGAGCCATGATCCCATCACTGCACTCTAGCTTGGGCAACAGAGTGAGACCCTGTCTCAAAAAAAGAAAGAAGGAAAAAAAGAAAGGAAAGCAAAAAAGCAAGCAAAAAGCAAGCAAGCAAGAAAATCGGTCTTCATATGTAATGAGATCTTATTTATTGATTTATTTTTGAGACAGTGTCTCCTCGCTCTGTCACCCAGCATGAAGTGCAGTGGCACAATCACAACTCACTGCACCCTTGACCTTTTGGGCTCCAGTGATCCTCTTGCCTCAGCCTCCCAAAGTGTTGCAATTACAGGCATAAGCCACCACGTCCCATGCACGTTAACATTTCTTGAGCACTGACTGTGCCAGGTGCTGGTTCTTTTCACCTACCAACTCATTCAGTCTCCATGACAACCCTATTAGGTCTAGACTGTTATTATCCTGACTTTACAGATGAGAAAATGTAGGCAGAGAAAAGGGTAGGTAACTTGCTCAAGGTTACAAGGTTTGTAGGTAGTGGAGGTAGTTGGTGAACCCAGATGATCTTGCTTCAAAGCCCACAGTCCCAGCCACTACGCCATAGGGCAAATGCTGCGAAAAAGGACTGTAGGGAGACGAACTGTCCACACCTGTTACCTCGGGGGTGGGACTGGGGGGTGGAGCTGAAAGAGGCCTCTGATGTATTCCTTCTGTTTGCTTTGAACCTTTTGCAATAAGGACTACTCATGTATTATTTTCACACAAAGCAGTATTTTTGTGGTGATTAAACTTGAACCAGTGTGCCTGCGAACTAAAAGCTTGCAACAGAGACTCCACAGCAGCTGCTGCCACCATCCAAGAACTTGAGGGGGATTCTGCTCTGAATCTCATGCCAGGGGTTTCCTCCTGATTCTTCTGTGAGAACCCACTCCTGGAGTGTTTACTGTGATATGGCACACACTGCTGGTTGCTGTAATCACACCAGCTATTTACCCTGGGCTCAAGGGCACCTGGGGGCACACAATTCTAGACTCAAGTTTGGCTGGCTTAGTTGCAGGATCCCCATCATCCTCAGAAGATGCCCTGACCATGCTTTGGGTTTCCCTGCCCATCTACCCTGCCTACTTTTCCTACAATTTTCATTCTCCAAGGTCCAAATTCATATTTCTCCTGGCAGACTTGGTTTCTCCTCTTCTCTTGGCTCATTATCAGCCTGATTCTCCTGCCTCAGCCTCCCAAGTAGCTGGGATTACAGGCGTGCGCCACCACACCCGGCTAATTTTTGTATTTTTAGTAGAGATGGGGTTTTGCCATGTTGACCAGGCTGGTCTCGAACTCCTGGCCTCAAGTAATCCACCCGCCTTGGCCTCCCCAAAGTGCTGGGATTACAGGTGTGAGCCACCACTCCTGAATTCTGTAATTCCAACTTGGCAATGCCTTAGAGTCTGCCCACATCATTTCCCGAAGGTAATCCCTCCTGTTTCGGTGGGAAGGTGCTCTGTTTGGGGGACTTTTCTTATTCAGTTTATTCCCCCCTTCTCCTCTCTTCATTCACATGTCTTCAGCCATCCACTCCCAGGGGGTCACCTTCCAGGGTTCTGCCCCACCCCTCTCCATCCCATAGCCCCTCTCCCATCTTTTCACACTAACCCTCCTACCACCTCAGCCACAGGAGGGCCTTTTTTTTTTTAAACTTTTAAATACTAAAATAATTTCAGACTTATACAAAAGTTGCAAGAATAGTAAAATGAACTTCCACATACCACTCACCTACATACCCCAAATGTTAACATTTAACTACACTTACTTTATCTCTCTCTCTATATGCATTTTTCCCCAAACCATTTTAGAGTAAGATGCACACATGATGTCCCCTTTTGTCTAAATACTTCTGTATTTCCCAAAAAAGACATTTTCTTACAATACCAGTTTACCTAGTCATAAAATTGCCATCTTATTTATTTTAATTGCTTTTTATTTTTTAAGGCTAGTCAAGTGGAGCAGTGGTAGAGGAGAAGGAACAAAGAACAGAAAACTACCGCTGGTAGAATACTATCACTCAATCCACAGACTTTATTCAAATGCTGCCAGCTGTCCTGATAATGCCCTCTATTTATTTACTTATTTATTTTTAAATATAGACATGAGGTCTCGCTTTGTTGCCTAGGCTGGTCTTGAACTCCTGGGTTCAAGCAATCCTGCCACCTTGGCCTCCCAAAGTGCTAAGATTACAGGCATGAGCCACTGCACCCGGCCCTAATAATGCCCTTTAGAGCAAGAAAAAAGAAAGAAAAATGCATGATCAGTATCCCACCCAGACTAAATATCACTTAGTTTAAACTTGCCAGCTTTGAGACCTGCCTGAGACTTTGGCTCCTCAGCTGTGGAAAGAGCCATGGATGGGGAACTGTTACTGTCTACGCAGATTGGACAAGTCACTTGGCCCTCTGTGCTCTACTCGCCATCACCCACGAGAATAAAAGGACAGGGAAGCCATGGGCATTTTAGCCTGAGTGCTCTACATAAATATCAAGCACAGCAAAGGTGGTCAGTCAGCGGAGTTACAACTAACAAAGCAACCTTTGGCTTCTCCCAGGTATCGATACAATTCATTCAAATGAAAAAATAAGAACTTAATTTTATTGAGTGATTACCCAGTTAGATAAGACAGAGCGGGCACAGTGGCTTATGCCTGTAATCCTGGTGCTTTATGAGGCTGAGGTGGGAGGATTGCTTGAGGCCATGAGTTCAAGACCAGCCTGGGCAACAAAAACTTGGTAGAGAAACAAAAATTTCTCTACAAAAAATTTAAAAAAAATTAGCCAAGGATGGTAGTGCATGCCTGTATCCCACTTACTCGGGAGGCTGAGGCAGGAGGATCACTTGAGCCCAGGAGTTCAAGGTTGCAATGAGCTGTGATCACACCACTGCACTTCAGTGCAGTGCACTTAAAAAAAAAAAAAAAAAGATTAGTTAGGCCAGGTGCCACGGCTCACACGTGTAATCCCAGCACTCTGGGAGGCCGAGGCAGATGGATCACCTGAGGCCAGGAGTTCGAGACCAGCCTGAACAACATGCTGAAAACCCCATCTCTACTAAAAATACAAAAATCAGTTGGGCATACATGCCTGTAATCTCAACTACCCAGGAGGCTGACGCATGAGAATCGCTTGAATCCGGGAGGCGGAGGTTGCAGTGAGCCAACATCACACCACTGCCTGGGCAACAGATCGGGACTCTGTCTCAAAAAAATAAATAAAAAAAAAATAAAATTAGAGCTCTACATGTTTCACATGTATCATCTCATTTAATACATACTGTTTTCACTGCTAGCTCCATTTTGCAGATGACTAGACTGAGTTTGGGGGAGAGGGGCGGTAGCTGACTGATTTGCTCAAGCTCTTTCCAATGCTTAAATTCAGGATTAGAAATGAGGAGGATAGAAAACATGTAGTCATTTGCAAGATGACATATCTTCATTAGGGTGAAATAGGGTAGAAGGAAGCAGACCTCTGAATGGAGACCACTGCCCCTCAGCTAACTGTGGCTGCACCTGCCATCAGGCACAGGGCTACATAGCTGGAACACCCAGCCCTATGCAGCACAGAGTCCCCTTGTCAGAGGACAAATGGATTCTGGGACCATAGTGAAAACAAAAGTGCACTAAGTTCCATGCTGCAAAATGACTTCTCTTGGTGACCTGGAGTTAAATTTTTGTCCCCTCCCTATGAAAAGCTTTATCCTAGGGACTTGAAGATGAAGTTTCTTCCCTTTGTAGGAAGTTGGTCACATCCAATGAGGAAATAAAATAAACTTCTTTTTTTTTTTTTTTTGAGATGGAGTTTCACTCTTGTTGCCCAGGCTGGAGTGCAGTGACAAAATCTCAGCTCACTGCAACCTCTGCCTTCCAGCTGCAAGCGATTCTCCTGCCTCAGCCTTCCGAGTAGCTGGGATTACAGGCACCTGCCACCACACCCACCTAATCTTTGTATTTTTAGTAGAGACAGAGTTTCACCACGTTGATCAGGCTGGTCTCGAACTCCTGACCTCGTGATCTGCCCTCCTCAGCCTCCGAAAGTGCTGGGATTACAGGCATGAGTCACGTGCCAAGGAAATCAACTTCTAAATGCACTAAACAGAGTAGTACAGAGCACACAGCATGCAAATACTAACTAACCCTATGAGAGGTGCCATCCCACTTCTATACCATTGCATAGTGCAGGGAGCTGAGGCCAGGCAGGGTTTGGTGATCTGGCCTGGGCTGGCACCAGATCAGGGTCTGTGAGATGTCACATAGCACCTGTGCCTAACAGAAGAAGCTGGCGGGACCAGAGGGTTTGAAACCAATGTCATGTTAAGTGGTTCTACATCCCTCCCTTAGCCATGGGGCAACCTAACTCCTTCCTTGGGAGGAAGGCCATGCAGTGGGTTTGTGATCACCTCCCCAGGGTATGTGACAAGTAGGAAAGCTTTTCCCTATCTGTCCTCAGCACTGATACCACCACTCGGCACTGGCAGCTTGGCAAGTGTTTCTATATTGTGTGCTGCGTTTCTCCAAATAAGTTATAAGGCTCTTAAAGACTAGTAGAGGTATTTTTCCTTTTCTTCCTTCTTTCTTAACACTTAAAATTGAAGGAGAAATTATAAAGATAACTCAGTTCACTGCACCAGAGTCATTAATGCTGGCAGCAGCCCTCGCCTCAGTTGCTAAGAGCCTAAGCCCCCGTTTCCACTGAAGCTCTGCCACTCACCTTGGGAAGCCACTTAATATTTCTGAGCCTCAGGTATTGCGTCCATAAATGGGAATAATAACCTTTCCTACCTTAAAATGCCTGCAGCACTTACCACTCATACGTGGGTGTATATAACAACAGAACAGCTTAAGTCAGTGAAGTATTATGTACAAAGCTCTTAGTCCAGTAAGTTCCCAATAAATAGAAGATTCTACTATCTCTTTGGCTACTACTGTGACTGCTGCTGCTGTGATCCTTAAACACAATTTTGTAAAACTAAGAAACACAAAGGCTCCTTAGCATCTTGGCCTGTGCTTTTCATTCCCCCATGTTCCTAGGTCAGTCATCAGGTGCCAGAGGTTCCCAGGGTGTTGGCTGCCATATGGTAAGTGTCCATGAAGTCCATTCTCCCATCTCCACATCTACCACCAACTGGTTCCAAGTCAGCACCAGGTCCTGCCCTTTCCTGCAAACCAGCCACCCAAGACTGGCCTCTGCAGAGGCCTATGGTGCTCCTTACTCAGCCTCTCAAATTCCAAATGCAGATCCCTGGCCATCAGCACTCTGTTCTACGGCAACTTCCCACCTTGAAAATGTCCTTCGTCCCTCCAAGATCTCAAAGTCTACTCTCCTTGACCTAAGAGGTGAGCCCAGTCTTTTCAGTAAGGTGATCACACCCCAAGAGGCAAAATATTCTGTGGCCTCTTCAAAGGACAGTAAAGTACATCAGTGTGCCTGGGGCTATATGAAAGGAGCAGCAATGTAGTTCACTCCTTCAACAAGGACTTACTGAGTGCCTCAGGTATGTGGGACTATAAAGATAAAGAAGACAAGGTCTCTACCCTTAAGCAGGGGCTCCAAGAGGTGTACACAAAGATAAAAGCTGAAGGTCAGGACCAAAGATAAGCCCTAGCAGCCCTGAACTTGCTCATTCCCAGCTCACTGCAAGGTATTCCCACCCCTCCCTTCCAGAGGCTCCAAGTGCACAGAATGAATGAACCCCAAGTGGCTGTCCAGTGTCATTCCTCTGGGCTCACTCCCGGGCCCTGGGCTTCTCCAAACAATTGGAGGCAGGCCGAGTGGGCGCATTCTCATGTGCAAGGCTCGCAGCGCCCCTCTCAGCTGATTGTGTCCAGGCGGCCGGGGTCTCGGAGGCGCATGAATGCCCCTGAATGGGCCCTTTCAGCCTGATGGACAGGAGCTGAAAGCTGCACACACACAAAAGCCACTGGGCAGCTGGGAGGGCTCCAGCCCCGGGGTTTGCCCACGGGAAGGGAGGCCGTCCTTCCACAAAGAGCAGTGTGAAGACTTCTCCACTTTTCAATGGCATCCTCTGGCCGCCAACTGTACAGCACCCCTACCCCCACCCCTGATGGTGGTAACAGCAGCAGAGGATGGCACTACATGGAGAAGCCTTAGAGGGCTAGAGGCAGAAATTAAAATCCAACAAATAAATAACAGAATGCCCTTTTCTTTAAGAGCAGGATGGGGATCTGAGCCAAAGGCCCTGAAGGGCGCCTCCATGTGCCCATCATGTACATCTGTAAGCAGCATTCCTGACACCCACAGTGATCTTTAAGGACACAGACTGACCTGAGATTGTCTAACATGTCACCAAGAAAAATGATCTCGAAAGGACACGGCCAATATTTAAATCAGGAATGGAGAGTCCCAATTCTTGTGTCACTCACTTGGTATATTCCAGGAAAAAAAAAATCCCCGAAGCGACACTTGTATTTTTAAATAGGACCAGGAAGGGGAGAATCACCCATCTGGAATTCTTTTAATTGCTTCGGGGGGAAGGGCAGCCTCCACCAGTTGGAGGAGCAGAGAAGTCTATTTACACTGTTGCACACAAATATTTTAAGTTCACAGTCAGGTGGCTACTTTGGAAGGGACGATGCTCTGCTTCTGAGATCACATTACTTTAGAAACACCCCCCCAAAAAGATAATTAAAGATAGTTCCTCCTCATAATGCAATACTATAAGGAGCAATTAAAATTAAATTAGCTTGTCATAATAAAAAAGATGGATTATGTTCTTAGGCTTCCCAACCCGGAGTTAGTAATTCATGGAGAGAAGCCTGTGACCAAGTAGCAGTTTTACTAAGGAAATATTAAACATTCAGACCACTTTTGTGAGTGGACCAAGATACCAGGGAGATACATACCCTGGCATAATTATTGCTTTTGTTTACATTTATTTTATTTTTTAAATAATGGAATGATTCAAACACATAATAAAGGACAGGGAAAAACACAACAAATAAAATCCATCATCCTAAATTCACAAATGTTAACATTTTGTTATGTTTGCTTCAAGACCAGGTTTTTCTAAACAAATAAAATGTTATGAAATCAGATGAAGCCTCCTTTTGCAGAGGCAACTGTATGTCCATATTTTTACAGGTTTGCCATTCTTGATGTGACATAAACAGAATGTAATATTGTTTTAACTTTTTATTTCAAAATGATTATAGATTCATAGGAAGTTGGAAAAAAAGTGTACAGGGAGGTTCCAAGCATCTAGCCTAGCCTCCCCCGATGTTAACGTCTTGCATAGCTAACTAGCATGCTATCAAAACTAGGATATTGAGATTGGCACACTCCACAGAACTTTCTCAGATTTCACCAGTTTTACAAACACTCGTGTGTGTGTGTGTATGTGTAGCCCTATGTAATTTTGTCACATGTGTAGCTTTGTGTAACAACCACAATCAAAATACTAAACTGTACCATTACCACCAGATTCTCTCATGCTACCCCTTTTGAGCAACACCTATCCCTTATTCCCCTCATCCCTAGCACCTGGCAACCACTCATCTGTTCCCCCTCGCTATAATTTTGTCATTTCACGAATGTTATATAAATGGCAAATGCAGTATATAACCTTTGGAGACTGACTTTTTCGTTCAGCATCATTTCCTTGAGGCTCGCCTATATTGTTGCATGTGATCAATAATTTTTTCTTTTTTATTGCTGTATTCCATGGTATAGATATACCACAGTTTGGTCAACCATACACCACTGAAGAACATCTGGATAGTTTCCAGATTGAGGCTATTTTGAATGAAGGTGTTATGAACATTCACATGTATAAGTTTCCTTGTGAACATAAGAGAAAGGCCCTAGAAGAGCCAAAACTATTTTGAAAAAGAATAAAGGAATCTCTCTTCCCAGTGTTAAGGCTTACTATATAGCTCCAGTAACTGTGACAGCATGGTCTTGGTAGAGGGCTAGACATGGAGATCAATGGAACACAATAGAGAACACAAATTGCCCACTTGCTTTTTTACAAAGGTGTAAAAACAATTCAATGGTGAGAGGTAGTCCTTTCAACAAAGTGTGCTACAGCAAGTGGACATCTACAGGAGGGGGAAAAAAATCAACCTCAACCTAAACATTACACCTTATATGAAAAGTAACTCAAAATGGATCTTAAATGTAAGACTTAAGACTTCAATGTAAAACACAAAACTATACAACTTTTAGCAAGAAACACAGGGCACATGAGGACATCTGAGTTCTATAATTCTGGGTACACCAGGAAGAGTCTCTTTCCTTAACATCTCCCCATCTAGTCTGTCCCAGATGACTGAAATTCCGCTATTAGACAGTCATACCTTTGGCTTAAAGGCTCATCCAGAAAATTCTTCTGGGAGAGATAAGAAATGAGAGCTTTGAATCTTGGGGTGAATCAGAGTATCAGGTCTTCTTTAGCTGACAGCTGAGAGGAGGATCTAAAAGGAAGTGAAATGAAAAGGGCACTTGGAGAATGAATGAGGGTGGGAGGGGTAAGAGGAAAAAGATGACGTTCTGACAAGTTCCACCTACTTGACAACAATAAGGTCAGTTCTTCCAAAATGTGTATCTGGTGCTGCATCTTAGTCAGGGCTGGGGGCAGGGGACGGAGTATGTTCACCAAACTACACTCAGCCAACATGTGCAGACATTTATACATGGTATCCACCAACTCACATGCAAAGAAAAGGAGTGTATATACATGTCAAAGGGTGGCAGTTCGTTGTTGTTTACCTTTCCTCATTAGTACAGTACAAATCTAGCTGAGAACAAAGAATTTATATTCCAAACAGGATAAAAGTATGAAAAATGTCTTTATTACCTACCTAGTATTTTCCTTCCTCCGTTTATGACTTCTTTTACATACACGTTTTATGGAATTATTCAGGCAAATGCCTTCTTTGGGACTCCTAACTCTGTGTGCAGCATGGTTGAAGAATGGGATATTCCTGTTACAGATACATCAGGCACATCACCAACTCCCAACGAATCAAATCCAATTGAATGCTTTTAACCCTAAAATTTTCAGGAAACAAATTTATCATCTTTGCTAAATTAGAAGACACAATGGGAGCCATATGGTAATGGTGACCATATTTCCCAAATTATAAATTTATGGCATAGAACCTGAGGAATGCTCATCATGGAAACAACAGGAGTGAAAATTTAAATGCAAGCAGTGTGGGCCCATATGCTCTATGGCTACCATGGCTGCCTGTCCCATTCAAGTGGGATGTGTTCAGAGGAAGCGCTGACTCTGGATGGCGCCCCCTCATGGAAAGGAGGAGCCACTGCAGCTCAGAGAACCTTTAGCTTTTCCATGTTACTTTGATCGGGCTCTAAAATAAAGTCCCCTGCGGCCGGGCGCGGTGGCTCACGCTTGTAATCCCAGCACTCTGGGAGGCCGAGGCAGGCGGATCACGAGGTCAGGAGATTGAGACCATCCTGGCTAACACGATGAAACCCCGTCTCTACTAAAAAATACAAAAAACTAGCCAGGCGTGGTGGCAGGCACCTGTAGTCCCAGCTACTCGGGAGGCTGAGGCAGGAGAACGGAGTGAACCTGGGAGGCAGAGCTTGCAGTGAGCCGAGATTGCACCACTGCACTCCAGCCTAGGCGACAGAGCGAGACTCCGTCTCAAAAAAAAAAAAAAAAAAAAAAAATCCCCTGTGTTGTCTCCTGACTGGGAGGTAAACTCGTATCTCCTGGCAGGCTGCTCCGAGGATCTAAGTCTCAAGTTAAATGAGGCAGCAGTGCATACAAACAGACTAGGAGGCCTCCACCAACATGGGGCTACCCGCACAGTGAGGGCCCTCCCAGTTCTGACCACCTTCCTCTCTATCAGCCCATCACAAAAACCCGCCACAGGCGTGAGCTGCCACTTCCTAAGATGTCCTAACCCCAAGCCAGGGACTGCCACAACCTCAGCAGAGTGTGGTGTGTCAGGCTGAGACACATCCTCTCTCTCCAATGCAGCCTCCCCAGAAAACCCACAAGCAGAGATAGACAGGACAACCCTCTCTGGAGCTGGGCCACATAAACAAGCGAGCTTCCATGAGGAGCTCTGGCTGCCCTGTGGTTCAGTGTGAGACTATCGGCTGGCTCCTGCTTGAGACTGGCTCTACCTGTGTGACCCCAGACAGCTCATTTAACCTCTCTCTTCTCTGTGCCTCCCATTTCCTCTTCTGTAAGACGTGATGTTGCTGAGTGTGGTGGCACTTGCTTGTAGTCCCAGCTAATGGGGTGGCTGAGGCAGGGGGATCGCTTTAGCCTAGGAGTTTGAGGCTACAGTGAGCTACGATAGCACCACTGCACTCCAGCCTGGGTGACAGAGCAACACACCATCTCTTAAAAAAAAAAATGCTGTGATGCAGATTCATGAGTTCAAACGCTGGCCTGGCACAGAGTAGACCCTCAATACAGGCTGGTTATTACGTCACTTATCATTACTAGGGCACACTCTCCTGAAGCTAATTTCTCAGGCGTCGCTAAGTCCTTGCCCAGGTAGTCACTTTCCTAAGAAACATGAAATTCTTCATCTGGGGCTATAAAAGATCTTGAATGGTGGAAGAGAACAAGCTCTAGATGTGGAGTCAGAGAACTAAGACACAGGTAGAACCTGTCACTGAACTTTGCTGTGACACCCTGGGCCAGGCCCTTGACTCTCTGAGCTTGTTTCAGTCAGAAACAAAACAGATTGGCTGCTAAGAGTCTTTGCCTTGTAAGGGTGCTGTGAGGATCAGAAGGGATCACTCATGTGACAGCCCAGCCCGCCTGGCCAAACTGAACAGCAAAGACCTAGCCCAGGTAGAAGAGAGGGGAGCACAGCCGTTAGTTTCCCTAGCCTTGTCCCGCCCCTATACCAAGGGCAGGGAACATCAGCAGGGCCACCTCAGTCTAAGCACAGCAGCATCCCCTGAGAGAGGGTCCAAGTGCTGCAGCCTTGTCCTTACACACCATGAAGATGGGCCAAGAAAAGGGTAGGTTGATGAGATCATCTTCTGCGGAGCTCTCCAGGTGAGGAATCTGGCCTTCCACCTGCATGCTCCAAGGGCTGGGGCTGCAAAGAGACTTCATAATCACCAGCATCATCTAGACACCAGAACCACCAAGGACTATAGACCTATTTCCTGAAAGCTGGCTCTTAAATTTGCTCCTTGTCCGCTCATTCTCCTCCAATACCCAATCTGAAACTGCTTCCGGGTTACCTTCCCCACGGAAGGTCCCACAATCTTCAGGCGGACTCCACTTTCCCGAACACTGCCTCTCCCCTGCCAGCCCCAGCTCTGATACCAGGCCTGGTTCCGCCTTTCTTCCCCGCCTCACTGCCCATCTGCTGACTGCAGCGTCCTCTCCTCCTGCTCACCCAAATCCTACCTGGCCTTTAGAGCTTGGCTAAAGGCTCGCTCCATGGAAAATGCCCTTCCAGATTTCTAACCCACATGGACACCTCCTTTTCTTCCCAAAGTCATTTCCTTAACATGAAATCTGCCAAACTGTGTGAACAGTTCTGGTGCCTACATACCCCAAGACAAAAAACAACCTCACTCCACTGAGAAGAGGAGAGAACTTAGGCCTAGCTTTCCTTCCTGGAATGACACCTTGTATCACCTCTCTTCCCACAACCACGACCCAACTTTACAAAGATTTCAATGGCTGAAATGCCCCTTGACTTTCCCTCTTCTCCAGGCAGAGGCCTCCCAGACCCTTGCTATCATCTGTTTGTCTAAGTCCTGGTGAAACTGCAGCTCCTAGAACTAAGCCTGAAGCTCCAGAAGTGGGTTGAGCAGTACAGAGTTGCTGGAGCCATTCCGTATCCTGAGCTGGGCTCTGTAATGCCACCTCTGGCTAATACACTTGCAGTCTGCACTAAGTCCTCACTTACTTTATTTGGGTTGCTTTTGCCTCTCCAAACAGCCTGGAGTCATGTTCTCTTACATCCTCCAGAATGCTCGGCACAGACATAAACTTGCTGACTCGCCCGATGATTTTCCCCAAAATCAGGGCTGAACTATATATGACATGCTTATTCACCATGGCTAAGATTCTGAATATAAAACACCTACTGCCTTATTCAAGCCAGCAGGGTTATGGGCTCTGAGAGACACCAGGCAGCAAAGACACCAAGAAAGACATGTCAAAATCATGGAAATGTCAGAAGCAAAGTCCATCAGGTCCAATGATGATCTGACTACTGTCTGACGCATTCTTCCCTAGGCCTAGGATATAAAGCTTGGACTAGGGACACCACGGGCCATCCATCCTAGGAACCCAAGTCCTAGGTGACTCCCCTTGGTGCTAGCACAATAGGACAAGTTATACATTAGTAATGACCTCCATTCATGATCTGCCTTCTTGAAAGGCATGTATGCCTATGAGTCAGTGACACTCTTGGCTGACTTGCCCATCCATTTGAAATGCATTTTGATATCTAGTATTTCAGGCAGATACCAGGTTAAACCCGGCTCTGTGCTGCCCCTTTTCACTGTGGCACAGACAATACCATTTGATTTTCCTCCTGGGTGCACAAAAGGACTACATTTCTCAGGCTTCCTTGGAGTGAAGTGGGGCCATTGTGTCTGACTTCTGCTCTCTCACCCCTTGAAGCAGAAGCTCTAGTGAGGAACCACGAAGCCCTAGAGCGGGGATTCTCAGTGCGCTCCCTGGACCAGCAGCATCGGCATCCTCTGAGAACTTGTTGGCAATGCAGATTCTCAGGACCTTTCCTCTGGAGGTGGGGACCCAGCAATGTATTTTCACAAGTCCTCAGGTGATTCTGACACTCCAAGTGGGAGCCACCACTCAGGAAGACAGCAGAGCTCTTAGACAGGGAGATCTGGGTTCCTGAATGAACAGGCAGTGCTGATGCAGACTTGCATTGGACCGTGATGGGGAGAGAAATCAACTTGTATTGTGCTAAGCCATTCGGGGTGTTATTTTGAAAGTGGTTATTCTGTCCCTGCTGAAGCAGTAATCATCACCAGCTTCATGTCCAGTCTACTCAGAGGGCCATTTCCCACCTGGGGTTTTCTAGCATCAAAAGCTGGTAGCACAAGCTCTCTGGAGTGCAGAGAACCAGGGTTATCTTATCCTGCCTGGAACAGCCTGACCGGGAACCTCTCTACCCACTTCATTCATTCCTTCACAGTCTGGCTGGTATGCTACAATGGGTGAAGAGGAAGTCACAGAGGGCCAGGATCAGAGAGCAGCTGCTGGCATTAATACATTCCTTCTACCCTCAGCTCCCTGGCACCCCAGGCCAGCACCCACCTGCTTCTCAGTTAAAGGTGTCTGAAGCCTGCATCTGGCCTTAACTCACAGAGAGTGAGTATCAGGGACTCTGCCTGCAGGTCCCGCAGGCCAGCAGCTATGACTGCAGAACAGACCGTGCCCCAGATCACGTGCCAGACCTCATGGAGAGGCTTGGATGTCCATCTCCCATCTGACGAACAAGCTCAGTTTTGAGGGCCTCGTCTCTCCCTGCCATCTTTGCTTTTCCTCTCCAACCGAAATCCCACTTAATTCCTTCAGGCGCCCCGTCCATCCTGCCTCCTCCCCATGTCCACCAGCTGCTCCCTTTTCCCCTGTCCTTTGGCAGGATCTGAGACTCCCAGTGTGGCCTTAGACACCACAGGGCCCGCCCCATAAGGTTTCAGTTTTACGCAAAGTTCTGCGTCTCCCTCCCTATTGAAACATGGATCCTGTGGCAGGGGCTGCATTCAGCATGCCTTGTACCTGCCCCTGGCCTTGGCACTGAACACAAGACACTTGTTAAACTGACACCCACTCGATGCTTGCTTAATGGTCAATGAGTGAGGTGCCTCAAAGAGGGGCAACACCAGACGAGCGCCCTGGGAACCCTCCCTGAGGATACTACACAGGTGCAAAGGAACCAATGGTCTCAGATTTAAGATGCAGACACACGGACCAGTCACCTTAGCTGGGGCAGTTTGGCCCCAGACCTTCTCCTCCAAGCAGAATTCCTCTCCCTCTCCTCCAGCCAGCCTTTTGCTCCCCTGGGATCATTCAACTACAAAAAGGAATGCTTCCCCTGGGCTCTGGGAGCTGCCTGGGGTTCCCTGTGTGTGCTGAACCCTCTCCCTCTCTCCTGGCCACCACACAGTCACACACATAGTTCTTTTTTTCCTCCGGGCTACTTGCTTCCTTTTGCTGCTGCCCCCAGCAGGCGGGCCCATGCCCAGCAGGGAGGCACACCCGTACCTCTGGGAGCCTCCTATATGTCCTTCTACCCTCCAAAGCAGGGCCTTTCCCAGGGGCTGTTTTGAAGGCTGTAGTTTACTAACTTACACCTAGCTTTTGGCTATATGCCAAGTTAGACAAGGAATACATTCCCTCTGTGCTACCTGCCCCTCACATGCACACGCTGGCTACTCTCATTGGGCAGGTCCATCTATTTACCACTTCTTCCAGCCCTCTCTCAGGTGCTCCCTGCTCTCCGCACCTCTTTCTCTTATAACTCTCCTCCCTAATCCCCCAAAAAGAAGCCCCAACTCAGGAGGGGTCACAGGGCAGCTGGCCTCTTAGGTCTACGAAACCTGAACCCACCAGCCTCCCCCTTTTCTCCTTCCTTCAGGAACTGCAGAGGAGAAACAGTTGACTGCTCCAGTCAGCAGAGCCACTCTGGATGCCAGGGGAAGGCCACCGTCTGTTAGGGGCCCTTAGGAAGGCTGGGGCTAGGAATCATGTGCTTCAGACCTGCCAGGGAGGAAGCGGTCTAGCTACTTGCTATTTGCTGGCTGTGAGATGCTCGGCACATCATGCAACCTCCCAGCACCTCAGCTTCCTTACCTATAAATGGGACTAGTGACAGGTCCTAACCTATGTGTTGGGGCTGCTACAGATGACACGAGTGAATAAATACAGATACTTGGAACGGGCTCCTGGTGCACAGGAAACACTCCAGGGTCAGCTGTAACTCTTATCGTGGTTGTTATTTCCTCAATCCTCACTTTAGGAAGTCACTAGCCTCTGAAGAACGTGAAAGGCAAGGAGCAGAGACCATCATGAGCCAGGTGGTGTGGAAGATTCCACTGAGGTCTGTAATGTGGATAACTGAGAAGATTCACCAGGATGGGAACCACAAGAAATCTGTGTGGGGTTGGAAGGCACATTTGAGGGGTATGATAATGTGCGGGGTGTAGCCGTCATGAGGCTGCGATGGCTGAGGGTCAGGCAGGTAGACACACCCTCCAGGTAGCTGGGCTCACACACTGTTCAACAAAAAGAGCACTTTGGGGCACCGTAGCTCACATCTGTAATCCCAACATTATGGGAGGCCAAGGCGGGACAATCACTTGAGGCCAGGAGCTCAAGACCAGCCTGGGTAACATACAACATAGCAAGACCCTGTCTCTACCAAAAAAAAAAACAAAAACAAAAACAAAAAAAAAAACCACTTTGCAGATCAGAAGTTTAGAAACTCAATACTAGATTCTCAGCCTCACATCTCCCTCCCCATCTCTCAAAGGAGATCTTCTCGGCCCTCTCCCCAGCCAGTGCCCCCTGCCCCTTTCTCCAACAGTCCTTGCAGCTGTTCCCAGGACCCGGCTAAGCCACGTCCTGGGCAGTGACACCCTACACAGGAGGGCAAGACACCCCCTATGTGTGAAGCCATTAACAATTATTAAAATTTAACCCAAGAGATCTTCTACAGCTACAGAAAGGCACCCAGAGAAAAGTGTTCAAAGAACAGAGCTTTAAGTCTTTTTTTTTCATTCAGCAACTAACAATAGTGATGACTCAAGAGAAAGGATATATTTCTTTCTTTCAAAAAATGGTAAGAAATCTTTTTTATGCACTTGCCGTGGAAAATGCTTAGCTCATCAAATTCCTTGTGCTAAAAGGAGCTAAACCAACACCACAGCAGGGCCCTCCCCGTACCAGCCCACTCAGCCCTGTTCTAATCCTAATCCCTGCATAGCAGCAGGTAACGGAGGGTTTCAGTCTGAGGGGTGAAAGGTGTGAGCAGAGCAAGGGAGGGGGCAGCTCAGCTCCAGGACTTAGCCAGAGCCCCTTGACTGAAACTCTCTTTTTGATGGCTCTCTACCACATGTAGTGGATTATGTTAGGTTTTGGAGGGGGAAGATGAGAACAAAGGCCCAAGTCTGAGAGATGACCTAGTATAGAGGTTCTCAGAGTCCCATCTGGGACCAGCAGCA
Organism: Homo sapiens; assembly: GCF_000001405.40. Taxonomy (NCBI): domain Eukaryota; kingdom Metazoa; phylum Chordata; class Mammalia; order Primates; family Hominidae; genus Homo; species Homo sapiens. The sequence goes on along the minus strand of NW_025791763.1, from coordinate 105,630 downwards.
TCTGCATCACCTGAGAACTTAGAAATACAAATTCTCAGGGCCCCACCCCAGAATCCCCGAATCAAACACTCTGGGAATGGAGCTCAGCTTGTGTGTTAACAGGCTCTCCAGGAGATCCGGATGCATTTGAGAACTATTCCTCCAGGACTCAGGTTGTGTTTCATTCCAAGGGAAACAAGAAACTGTTCTGTGCCTGGCTAATAGGAAACAAACCACAGGTGGTCCCAATTTCATTCCCTAGGTCGTATCATTTTGAACTCAGGGTGAGTGGCTCTATTGATTTTAACATGGCAATAAAGGCAATTAGTCTCTTTTTGCTGTTTAGGAGCAAAAGACAACAACGCCTGCAGAAGCCAGTGGCCCTGGAGGGAAAGCAGCTCAGAGGTGGAGAGAAGCACCAGCTCTGTCTTCCAGGAGCCCTCCCTTATCAGCCCCAGGCTCTGACGGGTGGGTAGTTACTTTCTCTCCTCTCAGGTTAACCAGCCCCTTTCTTCCATCCATCCTCTTGACTGTCTCCCTAAACTCCACTTCCCTTTGAAACAGGCTGTAGGCAGGAGATCCAATCACAGTGGGGTTGGCTGAGGCTCCAAAGTGACCCCCACCTTGAGACACCTAAGACAAGAGTGTCTAAAATCACAGCCCTGCCGCCTGTCTTGTCTCTGTGGTTCTCAAAGCTCAGACAGGATGGGTGGCAACCATGGCTGAGCCAGGGCTTCAGTGAGGCTGCACCAACTTCAGATTCTAGGCCGTAGAAAGGTCAATTAACACTGGCAGGCCTCAATTTCCCTGTCTATAAAATGGACAAATAACCATCTAGTAAGTGCTCATTAAATATCAGCATTTCTGGCCTGAAGAGAGAGCCCTCTGAGTGGGAGCGTGAAAGGGCCTAGATGCCAGGATTCCAGCCCCGCTGCCTTCCACACAGCTGTCCCCTTCCCACCCCTGCCACCCTGCTCCTTCTCCAGCTCCTTCTGGAGACTTGGGTGCACAGGAGGAGTTCAGTAAATAGTGTGAATTAAGGGGAGATAGATGGAAGGAAAGAGACACATGAACCATGTATGACTCAGGCAAAGACTGAATTGATCTGTGTTGGTATTTGAGGGGGAAGGAAATGGCTAAACAAAACAAACTGTGTTTACCACCATGAAAGGAAGCCCAAACAGTAACCAGCTAATGGCAGGTGAAAACACAGGAAATTCTGAAAAGTGTGTAAGAAAGGCACTGTGTTTTTTTCTTCTAAATAATTCAAATGGTTCAAAAGCTTACTCCTTTCCCCTCTAAAGAGCTCACTGTCCATGGAGACGTCTCTGGGAGCGTAGTGTAGCCCTACCTCATACCATTTTTTTCCTCACCTGGCAAGGTCCCTGCTTTTTCTCAGGGCTCGGGGGCCCTGCTCCTGTCTTCACTGATCTGCTTGCTCTCTGTCAGTATCACTGGTTAACAAATGACTCTATATCCGTTCCACAGAATGGTGTGCAGCCATCCCAATGCTTACTGCAGCTACATGATATCTGTGTTCTGTCGTCTTCATCTTATAATGCCTAGAACTTTGAGGGAAATCATTATATAATGAAATGAAGAAACCACCAAAAACTGTGTACCTATGCTTTGATTTTAACTATATAAAATATGAATTCATCAGAATAAAGACAAAGATAAGACTCAAATGAAAACAGTTTGTTAGGTGGTAGGATTATAATCGTCTTTTCCCTTTTTTCATTTTTTTATTTTTATTTTTTAGAGACAGGGTCTTGCTCTGTTGCCCAGGCTGGAGTGCAGTGGCGCAATCATGGCTCACTGCAGCCTCAAACTCCTGGGCTCAAGCAATCCTACTGCCTCGGACTCCCGAGTAGCTGGGACTACAGGCATGCGCCACCACACCTGGCTAGTTTTTTATTATTTTGTAGAGATGGGGTCTTGTTTTCTTGCCCAGGCCACTTTCAAATGCCTGGGCTCAAGTGATCCTTCTTCCTCGACCTCCCAAAGTGCTGGGAATACAGGCATGAGCCACCACTCCAGGTCTCTCTTTTATATAGTGTGGTGGATGTTGACTTTATACTTAAAATTTTTTTAAAACATATGGCAAATATTATAAGGTGTTTGTGCCCCACACCCCTGCCACCAAATTCCTGTGTTGAAATCCAATCCCCAATGTGATGGTATTTGGAGGTGGGGCCTTTGGGTGGTAATTAGGTCATGAGGGTGGAGCCCTGATGAATGGGATTAGTGCCCTTATAAGAAGAGGCCAGAGAGCTGGCTTGTTCTCTTTCCACTGTATGAGGAATGCAAGAAGTCAGCAGTCTGCAACTTGGAAGAGGGTCCTCACCAAAACCCGACAGTGCCACCACCCTGATCTCACCCTCTATCCTCCCAAACTATGAGAATAAATGTCTGCAGTTTATAGTCCACTCACCCTCTGGCACTTTGTGGTTGGATTTTTTTTTTTTTTTTTTTTTTTGAGACAGAGTCTCGCTCTGTCACCCAGGCTGGAGTGCAGTGGTGCGATCTCGGCTCACTGAAACCTCCACCTCCTGGGTTTAAGCGATTCTCCTGCCTCAGCCTCCTGAGTAGCTTGGATTACAGGTGCCTGCCACCACACCAGGCTAATTTTTGTATTTTTAGTAGAGACAAGGTTTCACCATGTTGGCCAGGCTGGTCCTGAACTCCTGACTTCAACTGATCCACCTGCTTCAGCCTCCTGAAGTCCTGGGATTACAGGCGTGAACCACTGTGCCTGGCCAGCACTTTGTTATAGCAGCCAGAACGGACTAAGATGTCAGGCTTCCAAAATCTACTGATTTTCCCATGGAATATACAATTTTCAGAAAAGCATTATTTTTCTAGGATAATGAAGGATGAGGGGTCATAGCCCATGTGAGAACTACTTACCTGGAGACACCAAAGCCTTTGGAGCCAGGGACATGAAAGAGGATGCGAACTTGCCATGGGGACTCCAGACAGTGGAATGGAGGAGAAAACAACAGCTAAATATAAGGGAGAAATTCCCTACGAGTGGAGCTGTCTAATAACAGAATTGCCAAGGTCCAGTCTCCTGACCATGAAGATGTATGGGAAGAGGGTATTAAATAATCATCTACCTGCAGACACTGGGGAGCTCAGGTGCTTCCAGATCTCATTTCATACCACAACAGGCTGCAGTGTAAACATATGGTCAGTCAGCGGAGGACTGAAGCCTCAAACTCAGATGTCCCAGGGCCTGGACTGCTGCTGCACGAGAGCTACACCAGAGCTTCCAAACGGTGCTTCTTTGCATGCCCAGGGTTGGCTGCCTCCAGCCTGTTGGCTCACCCCAGTATGCCCTACAAATATCATCAGTTTCCACCCTTGCCATGAGACAGAAAGGTGGGGAGTACCTCTTATCACAGCAAAGAGGAGGAGATGGCTTCCTACAAAAGCTAGTAAATATTTCATCAGAAGGAAGTCTGTCTTCACAGGAATTGTCCCAGCTAGACTTCCAATCCCTAACCCTGATTTTAAGAGATCCACCTGATAAATGCGTCTTCAGGAACAACAGCCAAAAACAAAGACTGACCTAAACGTGGCTGGTGACAGCGAGAAAGGGAGGAGAGCCATGAACCGCAGAGGGCCAGCATTGAGAGAGTCCAAAGTATTGGTCACGCTTCCATATCCTGGCTCATGTTACAGCCAACTTTTGTTTACCAGGCCTACAGTCCCTCTTCCTGTCATTCCCAGCTTCCTATTTTAATGTTCTTTTTTTCTCTGTTCACTACTATTTAGGCAGACAATGAATACAGATAACAGCGACAGTGAAAAAATTCAACTGAGTTATCTGCTACTGGGGATTACCTGATCCATCGGGAAATCACAAGTTGACAAGAGGACAAAGAACAGGGTGTACCTCATTGTTGTCGATTTGCTTATCTCAAGTTGCACCCACCCCCCATCCTGGCTACCCATGCTCAAGCCTATGACCAGGAGGGAGGGGAAGCACTTGCCCCCGTGGCTCCCCACTGCATGGACGTTATCAGGGGTCTTGCTGGATGGTGGCCAGGCACCTGTTACTATCCTGTGGAATTTACACAGCTAGGCATGGTCAGAAAGGAAATCCATGGTTCAAATTTTTATCAAAATTCGGGTAATTTTTCAGCTAGCTCAGCCAACCATATGCTTTCAGGAAATAACAATTGTGGGGGCAGGGGGTGGTAAAGCAGGCTTCAAACTGATTTAAACCTGATCCCCTGTCCAAAGAGCATTGTACAACTGAGCAGGTGTCTCCATTCACACTTCCACCCTCTCCAGTTACATGGCAAAGGGCTCACAACTCCCAGACACTCAGCCAGCCAGCATTCACAGAGAGCCCACTGTGAGCTGCGCCGGGCGGGCCAGGGACAAGGATGTCACATGGCGCTGCCTGTGCCATGTTACAGTGAGGGTTTGGTTGAGGCCATAAGGCAAATCAACGATATCAAAGACACAAAACCACACACATAAACAAAAAACCACACACTTAAACATAGTAACACTTTGAGACGGTCATGTCCAAAAAGGCCTGAGGAGCTGGTCTAATATGAGGTCCGGAGGAAGAAAGGTAGGGTCGGGCAGGGACCTGCAGTGACCCAAGGATGTAGGAGCAGAGGCTGGATGCCCCAGCAGGGCCCAAGTGTGAGAAAGCTGGAGGCCCTGGGCATAGACTGCGAAGAAACCAGTTGGGCAGGAGTGAAAACTGAAGAGAAATGATGGTTGTCAGGCGGAGTCAGGGGGATGCTATCCCATGAGGAGGCTCTCAGGTGCTAGGCTAGTGAGTTCAGACTTGACTCACCAGTCAAAACACAGGAACACTGACCATCTTACACACTGCACACCAGCACAGAACAGCCACAGAAATGGGGGAAGGCCCATTTTTGGAGTTGACAGTGACCAGTTAAATGAGATGCATGTACCATTGCTGAGCCTCATACCCACCTGCCAGGTGGGCAACATCACCTCTTTTTTGGAAGCGAGGAAACCCCATTAGCCTTGAGCCTTGCATCACATTTCCAAATGACTCAGTGGTAGCCATGAAGTAGAACGAACCCAAATGATGAATGGATATACAAAATGTAGTATATCCATATAATGCAGTACAGTATTTGGCAACAAAAACGGAGGAAGTGCTGATACACACCATGACACAGAGGAACCTTGAAAACACCAGGCTAAGTGAAAGACACCAATCACAAAGACCACACACTGTACGATTCCCTTTATATGACAGGTCCAGAACATAGAAAAAGAAGGCCGGTGGCTGCCAAAGGTTGGGGGAGAGGAGAACAAAGTGACTGCTAATGCAGTGATGAAAATATTCTAAATTTAGATAGTGGTGATGGTTGCACAATCCTGTGAATATATTGAAAACTGCTGAATTGTACCCTTTATAAGAATGAATTCTGGCCGGGCGCGGTGGCTCACGCATGTAATCCCAGCACTTTGTGAGGCTGAGGCGGGCGGATCACAAGGTCAGGAGTTCGAGACCAGCCTGACCAACATGGTGAAACCTTGTCTCTACTAAAAATACAAAAATTAGCCAGGCGTGGTGGTGCGGGTCTGTAATCCTAGCTACTCAGGAGGCCGAGGCAGGAGAATCGCTTAAACCCAAGAGGCAGAGGTTGCAGTGAGCCGAGATCGCGCCATTGCACTCCAGCCTAGGCAACAGAGACAGACTCCGTCTCAGAAAAAAAAAGAATGAATTCTATGGAATGCAAATCTCAGTAAAGCTGTTGTTTAAAAACTGGCTTAAACCAGGCACCGTAGTATGTGCCTATAGTTCCAACTGCTCAGGAGGCTGAGGCCAGAGGACCCCTTGAGTTTAGGAGACTTCGATATCCCTGTCTCTTGAAAAACAAAAACTGGCATAAATGTATTTGCGATTCCCCTGCCTTCATATATAGGATATGTGTGATTCAATTTAATCTTTATTAATAATTCAATCAATAGGTACCCTGTGCTGTAATCAAAATCATGCGCCCCTCCTCCCCGCAGAGTGCTTCTATATATCCCCCCATGGTGCTGTTTCTGTTTTTCTGCCTCCTGCCTGTCTCCAGTGCTCCCTGTCAGGCTGTGGGCCAACACCTACCTGCTGTTTGGAGCCCCCCACCCCCTCCGTACCCACTCCCCTGCTCCTCCACACCCCTGCAGCTCAACTGTGCAAGGGCAGGTCTGTGCTTGTGCCAATGCTCAGAATGAATAGTTTCAATCAGTCACCCGGTGAGGCCCCTCTGCTCAGACAGAGCAGGAAAAGATGGGGAGAAGACAAGCTTGTTATCTTCATTTTCCTTTTGAAAGGAATATTTATTTGGCAAGTTTAACTTTTCTCAGGAAATAAGGTGTGTGTGGGCAAAGGCGGGAAATTTCGATCTTTTAAAATACTGCTGCCACTCATTTATTCGTTCTTTTAGAAACGTTTCTTGGGCACCTCCGGTGTGCTGACACTGTCCGGGTGCTGGGGTAGACCAGTGAACAAGCCCTTGTGGCGCTGCTGTGGTAGCGAGTGGAGACGGGCAATGACCAATGATGGCAGGGGTGCTCTGGACTCAAATAAATCCAGGAGAGGGGTGAAGAGGGCTGGAGGTGGGGCGGACGCTGCAATTGTAAATAGGGTGGTCAGGGGAGGCCTCACTGAGGAGGTGACGGTTAAACTAAAGGAGGGAAGAAGTGGGGAGCAAGCCTGCAGTTGTGAAAGGATAAAGAATGTTCTAGGTGGCCGGGCGCGGTGGCTCACGCCTATAAATCTAGCACTTTGGGAGGCCAAGGCGGGCAGATCACCTGAGGTCAGGAGTTCGAGACCAGCCTGACCAACATAGTGAAACCCCGTCTCTACTAAAAATACAAAACTAGCCAGGCGTGGTGGCACCTGCCTATAATCCCAGCTACTCAGGAGGCTGAGGCAGGAGAATCGCTTGAACCTGGGAGGCAGAGGTTGCTGTGAGCCGAGATCGCGCCACTGCACTCCAGCCTGGGCGACAGAGCGAGACTGTCTCAAACAATCAAACAAACAAGAATGTTCTAGGTGAAGGAGGCACAGAACAAGTGAAAGGCTGTGTGACAAGAGTGTGCCAAGTGAGTTTGGGAATAAGAAGTATGGATCAAACAAAGTTGGTGTGGGGGTGGTGGCCACAGGGGCCACGGGGAGGTCAGCTCAGTGGGAAGAATTCTGCCTTCTCTCCAAGGGAGAGGAGGGCCGACCATTACCTCAATGGCACCCCATGGCCCTAACATCATTGTCTGATGCTTGTTGGTATACCAAGCTGGACGTGGCTGAGTGGGATGTGAGGTGGGAAGCACTGCGGGGCTCCCCTGGTGGACACGTGGCTGCAATCAGGGCCTTCTGGTGGCAACATCAAGGACATATTTCAAACAGGCCTCGGGGAGGACACTGCACATCTCATTGGACGGTGCGGGAGAACACCTAGGAGCAGTGAAGACTGAGAAACTGGTCTCCCCAAGGTCTACGAGGACTCAGGCAGTAACCCGGGATGTGTTTAGGGCAGTGTGGGGGGAGGGGGGAAGATGGGAATGGTTATCACAATAGGATAAAAACAGTAGCTACTGAGGTACCAGGGACACTTGACATGTACACGGTAAACTCTACATTTTACAAGAATCTGGCAAAGGAGATGTCACAATCCCCATTCTGGAGATGCAAGATGGAGGCTTGGAGAGTCCAAATTATTTGGCCAAGGCGGCAAAGCTAGCAGGCAGGAGATGGTCAACTCCAAGCCCCAACCAGCCTCACTTCCTGGCTCTATCAGTGAAACTGCATAGAATTGCTAACCATCAACTATTTCTGACTTATAAAAATGGCTTATAAAATTTCATATGAACCCTATTGAAGAGGATTGGCTTTCCCAATATTTACCCACAACAGAAGCTCTGAAGGACTCTGACAAAGGCAGATCATCTCATTCATGTCTACTGCCCAGTCCTGTGAGTAGCAGTACACACCACAAAGCTCTCAAGCCTGGCTGTGGTCAGAATCACCCTAGAAGTTGTTGTGGATTCCCAGTTCTGTCCTATCTGGAGCGGAAATTACAGGGGTGAAGCCCAGGATGTGCATTTTAAAACAGCACCCCCAAATCATTCTGACATAATCCTTCTCATGTGGTTTGGCTCTGACCCCACCTAAATCTCGAATTGTAGCTCCCACAATTCCCACGAGTCATGGAAGGGACCCGGTGGGAGGTAACTGAATCATGATGGCAGGTCTTTCCCATGCTGTTCACGTGACAGTGAATAAGTCTCATGAGAGCTGATGGTTTTATAAAGGGGAGTTCCCCTGCACATGCTCTCTTGCCTGCCACCATGTAAGACGTGCCTCTGCTTCTCCTTTCCCTTCTGCTGTGAGGCCTCCCCAGCCATGTGGAACTGTGAGTTCATTAACCTTTTTTTCTTTATAAATTACCCAGTCTCAGGTATGGCTTTATTAGCAGCATGAGAACAGGCACCTTCCCAAAGTCTAAAAAACCAACAGCCTCATTATTCCTTTGACAAGCGGCTACAGAACTAATTTCAAGATATGCATTTTCCAAGATGTCCCTAGGCAGGAAAATCCAAGGAAATTCTTTTGTCCACAGCCCATCTGTTGTCTTTCTGTTGTGGTTCCAGTCGGGGAATGGCTGCAGCAAGGGAGACTGCATCACACCTACTATGTGCTGGCTTCCTGGGCAGACGGGAAAAAATCACTTTCAAAACTCCACTCTGAGTGGGTTTCCTGGGCACCATTTTTCTTTCCTGGGATGTCCGGGTACTAAGATCTTTATGAGACAGAAGTTTCTCCAATTAGCAGAAAGAGAGAGAGCGAGAGAGAGAGAGGAAGAAGAATCAGAGAGAACTCTCCCCCTTTACAATAAGGGAAGAAGTCTTTGGATAACAGCAGGAAGGCAGTGGCAAAAGGAACCAAGGAAGAGCTACTGATTATAATTGGAGGCTCTGGCTTGTTTTAGAACACAGTGGCATGGCACCAGGAACAAACCCATGATTTGGCACTCCAAACCCTGAGCATAGCTATTTGCTCCTTAAATTTTTTTATATCTCAATTTTCTATATTGCTCAATTTTCTTTTGATGAATATGTATGACTTTTACTCCTCCAAAATTGACTTGATTTTACAAAGTGAGATTGCTCACTTTGTTGAAAATGCCAGGCTTGATGCTTCTGAAAATGAAATCCACCTATGGAAGATACAGTCTCTGCCCCAACCCTAAGATGACCCAGCAGAGCAAAGTCAGCTCCAGTCTCCACAAAGAAGGGAAGGTGGGGTACACAACTCTACTCACTGGGCTGCAGGAGCTATTCCAGAGAGTGAGCACACTGCTGGCCCTTGGGATCTCATCCTCCTCTCTCTGAAATATTCATCTTTCAAGGCTATCTTGTCATGCTCTAGATCCAAGTTTGCAGAACGCAGGTTTATGCGATATCAACTTTTAGTAACAAGAAAGTATTGTTGGCTCTTCTTTTTCAATTTGGATCTTTCACAATTATCTCAAAATGAGTTTAACTATCTTGTGCCCAAGTAAAACCTAAACATTATCTTAAAAAATCCTGATTGCCAGGCCCTTGCATTCCAGGCTAATGACTACTGTAATTATAAACTCCAGTCTGTGCTGGACGAGTCTGCCAAGGAAGAACCCAGACCAGGGCTGTGTGGCCCTGCATCATGGGAGCTGGTTGTACTGTCACCTAGCAAGCACAGATGCAGGTACATGGCAGCACGGGTGCCCAGAGCAGACCAAAAAATACAGCCTTGGTTAAAAATCCCTCCCCTCCCGTTGGCTAGGGAGACAAGGCCTCTGCACTGAAACAATTAGGGAACAACACAATATGCTTTGTCTTGTTCACCAATCACACATAGATAAATGACAGGTAGAAGTTATAAGATAATACATCCTATAAAAAGGCAATTGTGTTTGATTGTGAGGTACATATGAGAAAATGTGCACTTTGGGAGGCTGAGGTGGGAGGATCACTTGAGCCCAGGAGTTCGAGGTTGCAGTGAGCTATGACTGCACCACTGTACTCCAGCCTGGGCAACAGAGCGAAACTCCATCTCATTAAAAAAAAAAAAAGAAAGAAAGAAACTGTGGACAGCAGGCGAATCTGGAGTTCAGGTCATCAAAGCCAATGTTGTTAGGCCAGCATGCTAGGGGGTAGAGTCTGGAAGGAGGTAGAAGCGCACTAGGTGTGTTCAGTGGGGAAGGTTCAGAGACTGCTGAATGAAGGACTGATGAGAAGGAAGGCTGACCTGACCGAGTGAGGTCAGATGGGGAAAGCCTTGAGAGTTACACAGGGAAGTTTAGACTTGGTGTGTGAAGTGAAAAGGAGCAATTGTGGCTTTCCTAGAAATGAAGTTATGAAATGATGGTGTTTTTTGGAAGATGAAACTGACACTAATGGGCAAGGGAAGTTGAATGGAGGAAATAGAGGCAGGAGGTTCTCAGATTTATTCTGTCCTGGGATTGCAGCAACCCTGTCCTCCTGCCACAAGTTTAGTTTCAAAAATCATATTTAGACTGGGTGCGGTGTTTCACACCTGTAATCCCAGCACTTTGGGAGGCCGAGGTGGGTGGATCACATGAGGTCAGGAGTTTGAGACCAGCCTGGCCAATATGGTGAAACTCCATCTCTACTAAAATACAAAAATTAGCCGGGTGTGGTAGCGGGTGCCTGTAGTCCCAGCTACGCAGAAGGCTGAGGCATGAGAATCACTTGATTCCGGGAGGCGGAGGTTGCAGTGAGCCAAGATTGCACCACTGCACTCCAGCCTGGGTGACAGAGTGAGGCTCTGTCTCAAAAAAAAAAAAAGTCGTATTTACAGATGGACCTGTGGCCCTCCTCTGATAGCCTGTCCCAGGTTCAGTCCACGCAGCTCTACCAGGCGGTGGGTGGATGGTGCTCAGACTCGGCAGCACCCAGCTCCATGACTCCCCGACACCCCCACACCACCTGAGGTGTCCCCCTCAGGGACAGTGTAGGGCCTGCCTGGTTAAACCACCCCTACCCCTCCTTCTCCATCTTCACTGTTCCCACACTTACTCTTTTTTTGTTTTTTACAATTTTGTTGAGGTATGATTGATATACCAAAAAACTGCACATATTTAATATAGATAATTTCATGAGTTTGAACACGTGCATACATCCATAATACCATCACCATGGTCAGGGTAATAAACACATCATCACCTCCAAAAGCTTCCTTGTGTCCCTTTGTGTGTGTGTGTGTGTGTGTGTGTGTGTGTTTGGTAAGAACACTTAACATGAGATTGACCCTCTTAATAAAGTTGTAAGTGCCCAACTCTAAACCATGGGCACTATGTTGTACAGCGGAGCTGCAGAGCTTACTCATCTCATATCTGTAACTTTACACCCACCGAACAACACATTTCCCTCTTCCCCCATTCCCTGGCAACCAGCGTTCTTTAAGTTTGACTATTTTCGATCCCACATACAGGCAGAATCATACAATATTTGTCCTGTGACTAGCTTATTTCACTTAGCATGATGTCCTCCAGGTCCATCCATTTGTTGTCACAAACGGCAGGATTTCCTTCTCCTTGTTTATTTTTTTGAAATAGGGTCTTGTTCTGTTGCCCAAGCTGGAGTACAGTGGTGGGATCTTGGCTCACTGCAGCCTCGACCTCCTGGGCTCAAGCGATCCTCCCACCTCAGTCTCCCGAGTAGCCGAAACTACGGGCATGTGCCACCATGCTCAGCTTATTTTTGTATTTTTCTTAGACACGGGGTCTCACTGTGTTGGCCAGGCTGGTCTCGAACTTCTGGGCTCAAGTGATCTTCCTGCCTCAACCTCCCAAAGTGCTGGGGAATACAGGCATGAACCACCATGCCTGGCTCCTTCTTTTAAAAAGCTGAATGATATTCCATTGCGTGCAGAGCCCACATTTCCTTTAGCCATCCATCTGTCGACGGATACTCAGGTTGTTTCTGTAACTTGGCTATTGTGAATAGTGCTGCAGTGAATGTGGGGGTACAGATCGTCTCTTTGACAGTGATTTCACAATTTTTTTGGATATATACCCAGTAATGAGATTGCTGAATCATATAATTCTTTAATTTTTAATTAATTTTTTGTTTTTTGAAGAACCTCTATACTGTTTTCCATAGTGGTTGCACTCAACACTTGCTCTTGGGAGCTGGTCTTGTACCATGTGCTAGCCCCTTACCCCCCAGCCAGTCCCACATTGCTGGAATCAGCCAGGAGAAAAGGTAGGGTGGGAGAATGATACTTGCAGGTGTAGAGTAGGCGTTATCTCTGACTATAAAGGTAAGTACTTAGCTGAAAACTTTAACCAAGGAAACTGGAAGAAATGGCAAACGAAAAATAAAAATAGAAATACATGCACCAAAATTAGCCGGGTGTGGTGGCCGGCGCCTGTAGTCCCAGCTACTCGGGAGGCTGAGGCGGGAGAATGGCGTGAACCCAGGAGGCAGAGCTTGCAGTGAGCCGAGATCACGTCAGTGCACTCCAGCCTGGGCGACAGAGCAAGACTCCGTCTGAAAAAAGAAAAAAATACACGCACCAGCATTGCCAGATATCTAAAACCATAAAACCCAGACACAGTATGAACATTATTATCTTTTGTGGTTGGAGAATGTAGCTTTCCACTTAATCAGATGTCCTGGTCAACTGAGAGGTGCTAAAGAGACAATCAACCCATGACCAGCTTTGGGACAAAACCACCACCTTAGTTTTTGAGTGTGCTCTGGGATTTGTATCAAATGCCTTCCCATCTACTGTGGTAATCGGATCTCACATTATAGGCTGTAGGAAGCCATGCCCAGCAGTGATGTCCGATCTGACTGTACTCAGCACAGTCAGTTCCAGTGTGCATGGGAAGGATAGGGCAGGGCTCCTGGGTACCCCCATGCCCACCAGGCTAAGACCTTACCCTACAACCCTTACCACGCCACCCAGGTCTAGTCAGGGCATCTCTATTTATTCCTGACCTGTCCCCTCATTGCCTATGAGGCCTGGAGCTCTTCTCTGAACCCCTGAGGACTCAGCTGGTGCCCTTGTGCCCTGCCCCTCACTCACATTATTCCTGCTCTCCAGCCCAGAGAAACATACTCTGCTCCCAAGGTCTAGCCCCAGAGTGCTTGTGCCTGTGAAGCAAGAGGCCACTGGCACCCAAGACTCCTGCTGCAGTGCTCCAGATCCAGGCTGAGCCCTGTAAATAATAGCCCACCTAGCACTGGACTCCAAATACTCTGGGGCTCAGCCCTACAGTCAAATCTCTACCTCCAGCCCCAAGGCTGACCAGACAGGTGACTCAGGAGGCAGATGTTACAACCACCACTGTGACCTGAGGCTAAAGGACAATTTAACAGAACTGATGCAAACTCACTGCCATTTGCCTCCCGATCAAGTTTTAAAATAAGTTCCATAAAACAGCTCTGTATCTGATTGTGGTGTTAGTTACACAAATTTATACATGGGATAAAACTGCATAGACCTGTCCACACAAACTACACACACACACAAAACATGAAGAATGGTGAGGGCTGAAGGTCTGTAGTCTAGTTAACAGTAATGTGTCAGTGTTGATGTTCTAGTTTTGATATTGAACTTCAGCTACATAAGATGACACCACTGGGGAAGCTGGAGGAAGTTCTCCCGAATCTTATGTCCTATTTTTGCAACCTAAGTCTATCATTATTTAAAAATAAGAATTAAAACAAAAAACAAACCAAGTTCCATAAACCTAATGATCTACAGCAGATTATTTTCACATCAACCAGGGCCCATGATCTGGCACCATACATGTTTTTCCAGGCCGCCCCAAACAGGTCTTCCAACCCCAGCTTTAGTGTTGTCATCCAACCAGCCTCAGCGTCTCCAACACACGCCACTCGGGCACTGGAACTTTGCACATTTCCAGAGTGACCCAGAAGGTCACGTCTCAAGGCAAGTAACTCTGGAAGGAGTGGGTATTTATTTTGCCTGCAGCTCCTCTCAGCCCCACTCACTTGAGACTGACTGGCCAGGGACAGGGACCAGCTTCCCAAGAAGGATCTAACAGGACTGGAGGGCAGATTTAAGGCTGGGCTTGTTCAAAAGCTTCTACCTAATCACCTAATCTCTGATGTCTTTGAAAAGAAGGCAAGCCGTAGTCTACACAGGCGCACATGTGTGCACACACACGGCAGCCTCAAGGAGCCAAAAAGAGGAGCTGTAAATTTAACTATTAATAAATCAAGCGATGGTCAAGACTGTAATCTAGAGTTATCTCCACTTACAGGATTTATTCACTGACTGGGAACAGGAAACAGTTACTATAAATGCAAACCAAGGATCCCTATCCTCTTCAATGCCACAGACCACTCCTTGGTAGGCTAGGGAAGCCCACAGAGGCCTCCACAGAATGATGCTAAATGCACAAATTAAATACACAGCATTGCAAAGGAAACCAATTACAGTAAAATGCAGTTATCAAAATATTTTATATTTTCCACCATGGTAATATTTAATTAACATATTAAATAAGACCTAGCAGCGAATCTCATAACAACCTTAATTCTGAAGTATTAAGAATTGCTAAGGATAACAGTATATCAAGACATTTACAATGACTCTACCACACTGTAAAAAATTAACTTTGCTTTCATGTACCTATAAATACATCGGTGTACTATGTACCCACAAACATTTTTTAAAAATGCACTTTGCAATTGCTACTGGTGACAGTCATGAGAACTGTTAATGTCCCTGTGGTTTATAGTCTACATTCATAATTGAAGAAAATGCCAATTTTCAGTTAGTGAAAATAAAATGTAATTTCTTTCCATTCAGGTTTTTGGAGCTTCCCTGAATTCTGTCTGTGGGTGGACTCCAGCTGAGAGCCTCTGACCCCAGCGGTTGATACAGAATAGCTACGGGAATGGAACGCCTCCTCCTCTCCATAACCCTGCCACTCCCCAACCTGTTCACTAATGAGATGTCCATTCCAAAGTAGCCTCGCTTTAAAACAAACCCCTCTTGTCCAAAGAGTTTTCACAATCCTCTCCAGCTGATGTTTAACACTGCCCCTGACCCCAGCCTTCATCTTAGGCAAGAGGGGCCCATCTCTCACAGTTCACCTCTCCCTTCAGCCACTGCTGCCACTGTGAGGAAATTAGGGGAATTATATTCATCTCTGGAGGAGCCTGAATGCAAACAATCATCCTCTGAGTGTACCCAGAAGCCAGGGAGCAGACGCCAGTCAGTGGGCAGGTTCGTGCTGAACGCTGACAGGCAACCAGCCCTGGGCTCCGGTGTTTTGAGCAATTTGAGGGTGAGAGTGGGTGTAAAGAAAAAAAAATATGCAGCTACCCGTTAAAGGCTGCAGTCAAAGTGGCCGGCTTGGAAGATATTTGTTATGGGTTGAATTGAATCCCCCTCATACACCCCCAACAAAAAAAGTTATGTTGGAGTCCTAACCCCCAGTACATCTCAGACGGTGACCTTATGTGGAGACAGGGTGTACTATGTATGTGTACTATGTGGAGACCCTGTCTCCACATAAGGAGATAATCAAGTTAAATGAGGTCATTACAGTAAGCCCTAATCCAATTGGACTGCTATCCTTATAAAAAGCAGGAACAGAGACAGACATCCACAGAGGGAAGACTGTTTGAATACACAGGGAGAAGGCAGCCCCCTACAAGCCAAGGAGAGAGGCCTGGAGCAGATCCCTCCCGCACAGCCTCAGAGGGAACCAACCCTGCCGACACCTTGATCTCAGACTTCCAGCCTCCAGAGCTGTGAGACAATGACTCTTTCTGTTGTTTAAGCCTCCTAGCATGCGGTACTTTGTTATGGCAGCCCTAACAAATTAATACAAAAATACAACATTCAAAATCAAACGTATGGCCTGAAACAAGGAAATCTTACTTTGGAGCTTATCACATCCTTTATGTTTGCCCACTGATCGATCTGAAATTAGATTCTGTTCGGAGTCTGCTTCTGGTCGGGCAGGAGGGATGGTCCGAGGTAGGTCTGTTGGATGATGTGACTGGGTGATGGAGGGGCATAGGGAATCCAGGAAAGAACTGCTGGCAACTCTACCACCAGCCCATGGTCTTATGGGGGAGGGGGGCCAATACCTCACTAGGCAGGGATCTGTTTAATCCTTTCATTCAGATATTCAGTGAGGAGCTTTCAACTAGAGCAGTGGTTTGCAAACTTGGCTGCATATTAGAAGCCCCTGGGGAGCTTTTAGAAAATTCCAGCAAAGCCTGAGCCCCACCCCAGACCAGTTGAATCAAAATCTTTGTGGGTGGAGGCTGGGCATGACCATTTCTAAAAAGCTCCCCAGATGATTCAAATGTGCAGCCAGGGTTGAGAGCCACTGGACCCTACGACCTTGGAGGGCCTTTCCTTCTCAGAATCCGGCGAGAGTGCATTTTGTGTTTATTTTAGTGGTTCTGGGGAGTGTGCTCTGGGGCTGCCTGGAGTCTGGTTTCCTACAGGTTCAGTCTACGGCGCCCTTTACTGGCTATGTGTGGATGAGTAATTCGGATGAACAGCGGGGAATGGTGGGAAAAAGGGAGCTGAAAAGGACTTTTCTCCCTTTCACTAAAACATCAATTCAGTAAGCTTGTGTTACAAAGCTCCTCCGTGCCAGCAGCTCAAAGGTGAACCAGAACCAAATGCCCAGACTTCTAGAAGCTCAGTCTCATTCCAGAAACAAACTGACAGCTGCTACACAAAACGGGGCGTACCACAACTCATGTCCTTATCAGTGTCCCTGCGGCAGAGGCTCAAACACCCCCAAGGCAACCGAAGGTGACCCCAGAGATGGTCTTAAAGGAGAAACAAGAATGTCTTCCATGGGGACTAAAGAATATCAGAAGGTTTGACCCATGATGGACTAAAATCATTCTGTTTGGCTAAAAATAGAGAAAATACGTCTTCACAGACCAAGAAAATTTGGGAACCACTGCTCGAGTGAAGCTGGTGTTTAATAAGGGGTGGCCTGGCTTGGGTAAAGTAGTGCCTGACCTTCCAGCAGGGGCTGCCTTCTACCTGGATCCACAGAGCAGCCTGGGATCCCACTGTGGCCACCCTACCTGTGTACCAACTTTTAAAAGTGAGCTTTGAATAAATGTATGTTCCAGGGCCCCATGTCCAGAGATTCTGGGCACAGAAGTCAGGCATGCGGACTTTCTTTTTTTAAAATTATTTATTTATTTTTTTTGAGAGAGAAGGGTCTCCCTCTGTTGCTCAGGGTGGGGTGCAGTGGCGTAATCATACTTCACTGCAGCCTCAAACTCCTGGGCTCAAGCAACCCTCCTGCCTCAGCCTCCAGAGTAGCTGGGACTACAGGCATGCATCACCACACCCAGCCAGGCATGTGTATTCTGATTTTTTTTTTTTTAAATCTCAACTTTTGGGGGAACTTCAGGGCACTGCTCTCCAAACCTCTATCTTGAGGGCAGACCACCAGGCCTGTGGCCCAACACCTGGCTTGCCTTGCTGGGCCTGCCTCGCTAGACCCTCAGCCTCTGTTTCCCATGTGGGACTGTTCCCCTGGCTCCCCCTCCGGCTCTGTTTGATCACCACAAGCCTCTGAGCTCTGCCTCGAAAGACCCAGCCACGCCCAGCCCTGCTTCCAGCCCTGGCTCCTGCTCTCAGGCCAGCATCCTGGCACCAACCTGACCAAGTGGATGACCCTAGAGTGCAGGCCCCACCACAAGTTAATCACCACAAACCCGCAGGCCACAGTGTGGAAAGGCACTCTCATCCTTTTACCCTGGACCAAAACTGCACAAAGATAGAAACAGGGACTTCTGTGCTCCTTGAGCTTCACGTGTTAACCTGGCTCCCCAGACCAAAGACCAACACCGCAGGGGTGAGTTCATCCTCTGCCAACAGCAATCTTTCCCTTCCTCTGAGGCCAGCCATCCCCATCCCAGGAGGCAGGGGAAGCAAGCCCGGGGAGGGCAGGAGAGCTCCCAGCTCAGTGAAGCAGCTCCACCGGCCCCGAAGCACCTCCCTTGCTCACAGCTCAGAGCCCAGCTTCTCCCTGCTGCAAAGATAACTGCAGCCTTCAGACTGACTTCCATGCCCCTCTAGCTAGGGCCCATCACTTCAAGTTCAGGCGCCAAAAACCAAGAAAGTAAATCACACTTCATAGACTTTATTTACCTTAAAAAATTCCTGAGTTCATTCATGTCTCCAAACCACTAGAGAACCTGAAAATTCACCAGGAAATTGGGCAACTGCAAGTTATCCTGGAGACTCCAGAGTCAACACTTCATTAAATGAGAACAATCTGGTTCATGCGTTGAAGCTGTTACAGTAATCAGGGCGACATGGGCAGGGGAAGCGATTTTTCTGAGGACAAGGCATACGGTAAATCCTTAGCTCTACGGATGCTGGTGTATTCCCAGAAGTCGGCCCACTAAGGGCATGCATGTACCTGTGGGCCAGTGGACTGTGGTCCTCATTCCTCCACACGGACAGACCCCGACAGCCACCCCTGTTTTACACCAATTAAACAGGAATGATGTGCGGGTTCTCATTGATGATTGCAAATGATCTTCTGGAACAAAACTAAGCGGCTTCTTTTTTCTTTTCTTTTTGAGACAGAGTCCTGCTCTGTCCCCCAGGCTGGAGTGCAGTGGCGCATCTAGGCTCACTGCAACCTCTGCTTCCCAAGCTAAAGTGATCCTCCCACCTCGGCCTCCTGAGTAGTTGGGACAGGGGCTTGCTACCACACCTGGCTAATTTTTGTATTTTTTGTAGAGATGGGGTTTCGCCCTGTTGCTCAGACTGGTCTGGAACTCCTGGGCTCAAGCAAGGAGCCTCCCACCTCGGCCTCCGAAAGTGCTAGGATTACAGGTGTGAGCCACTGCACCCAGCCTGCTTCTTTTTTTAAAAAAAGGTGTACCAAGACTTCAAAAAATAAGGCCGAGCGCAGTAGCTCACACCTGCAATCCCGGCACTTTGGGAGGCTGAGGTGGGCTGATCACCTGAGGTCAGGAGTTCGAGACCAGCCTGGCCAACATGGTGAAACCCCATCTCTACTAAAAATACGAAAATTTGCTGGGCGTGGTGACACATGCCTGTGATCCCAAGGAAGATGGGAGGCTACAGGAGAGTGGAGGTGATTTGCATGTCTTTATCCTACATCAGAAGGTACCAAGGACATTTCTCAGAAGATGCACACAATGCGGCCAACAAATCTCTGTTGGAGTGTTGGAGAACAGAGCAGTGGCTGCCAGGGGGAAGGAGGCATGACTACAAAGGGGTGGCACAGGAGATTTTAGGAATTTGGAACTATAGCAGTGGTTACATGAATCTGTACATGTGTTAAAACTCGTAAACTGTATACCCAAAGACTCAATCTTTCTGTATGCTAATTTAAAATTTTTGAAAGGAAAAAAGCCTTTAGGTAGAGTGAGAAAAGCACTGGCTGGAGATGGGACATGGCGTGAACTCCCCCACCATGTGACAGTGTCCCAGGTGCCTGTGAAACCTACAGAGCCAGTGGGCATCGGTCAGGGAGCCTGGGGACAGGAGGGGGCCAAACAAAGGGGGAAGCAACAGAGACGCTTGTGGAGGAAGCTGGGTCCCCCTGGCACACGAGAAAGCCAGCAAGGAGGGACTTTGTGAAGGGCAGAAGGAAACCAGCAAGGCCGGCAGGATGTCAGGCCAGGCCTGCTGTGAGAGGGACTTGGAGAAGGCCAGATGTTACACTTCACCCTAAGCATCCCAGGGCGCAAGCCTTCCCACAGGCCTTGGGTCAAGGAAGCCTGAAGGCGATCTTGAATTTCTCTGGGGCTTCTCCCATCTCCAGTAGGTCAAAGGGCCAGTACCACAAGCAAAGGAGAGGGCAGGCACTGGTCTGGAAGGCACCAGGAACTGCCAACCTGTTTCCTTTCACATTCCCTCAGATCTTCCCAAGTGCAGGCAGCCAATGTGTGCCCTTCCTGGTCCTTTCTGCAGAAGGTTTCACTGGGCATGCAGACAACCACCACAACTTGGTAAGGCCGGAAGAAAGGCCAAAAGAGGACAGTGCCTGCACAACTGGTCCCTGAGTAGCCCAGAGCAACCAACAGACAGCTAAACCTACAGAAGCTGCAGGCTGAGCAGGAGACCAGGTTCCCGAAGTGAATGGTCTGCCCAGGGAGCCCCGGGCGCCTGGGCACCATCAGGAGGAGAACACAGGCTCGAGGGGTGGTCTGTAAACCCTAGGAAAGGCCTAAAAGGCTGGGAAGAAGCCGCAGACACTGCAGGAACACCAGGAAGTGTTTCCTGTCTCAAACGCCAATCTCTCTCGGTCCAAGACTCCCCTTTTCCTGAAGCTGGAGCCTGCTTCTATTTATTGATCGAAGGCTGAACCGCACTGTCCACGGTGCTACAAAGCCCTCCTCTACCACAAAGCCGGGTTATGCTTCAACATCCTCGCAGCCAACTCTGAGACAGCAACTTGCCTGGGGTTAAGACAATTTGTAACCAGACATGGAAATGCAGGTAGATTTAAAGACACATTCTTCAGTAACAGAGATCTACCTTAGGGTGGAGCAAACCTTCCGAGGACAAACAGAAAGTGTGGCTGGGTCCCAGCTTGTGGCAGTACCAGGAGGCCCTTCAGTAGGTGAGCTGTGGCCACAGGGCCTGGACCACCTCCAAAGGGCCGGCCTTCAACCAAGGCCTGACAGAGAGAAATTAGCATGCTGTTCTGCTCAATTATCCACTTACAGAGAGGCATAATCACATTTTCTTAAAGCTGGACATGTAGATGAAAGATATGTCCACGATAGAAAATCCCGGGAGTTTTTTTCCAAAAGAGATAAAAACTTTATCACACCTCCGAAACTAACCTGACCTGAGCTATCATGATTTTGGCAATAGAGACACAATGACTTTTCTTAGGACTCAAATGTGAGCTTTCTTTCTGCCCCCAACCTCTCTCAGGCAAGAGTTTGGGCAGACATTATTTTTAAACAGGCTCATATCACCCCAAGACAAAATACATTGAATAAGCACTAAGACAGCCTGCAGGGGTTTGGGCCTCGGAGTTCTGGACTGGCTTCAGCTTCACACGGAGTCATGTGCATGGTCTCCTGGACACCAGACCCAAAAGGAGAGGGGAGAGAGAGGACTCCCAGAGGGGACTGGGTCTCCTATGTTCTAAAGTGCCATGCTGGTGGGCACGGGAAGTTAAATGAAGTCATTTACCAGTCCGTTTGGGTTTGGCTGCAGAAGCCAGAGCAGGAGTCCTGGACTAGACTGGGGTGGACGTTGAGGGCCATGCACCACACTTGCTGTCAGCTCTCCTAGCCCCTGCCCCGCCTTCTGCCCACTCAGCTAGCACCTTACACCACTATGGCCAGGAGTCTGTAAAGCTGACCTTCCCAGGAGCAACTCCAGTCCTTCCTCCTTCCCTGGAAATGCCTGCTTTCCTCTGTCCGCCATGTAGCATTCTGAGTTCCCAGGCTCTCTCCATCCCAGAAGGCACCTCTAAAAGCCATGCCCCCATCTGCACAAATGATGAACAATTACCACTAACTGCCCCTCACCTCGCATTAACCCCGAGACCTCCCTTAAGGAGGGAAGGAGGGAGAGGAGGGGAGGGGAAGGCAGGAGAGCCAGTCAGGGCCCCTCCATCCTGCCCCTACCCAGCTCCCCTGGTCCTTGCAGGTAGATTGGCCACCATCATTCTTGCTCTTCACCCAGAGGCCTCCTAAGCAATGGCTGCAGACCCGAAAACCCCATGGGTTCAATAGCTCAGGGCCTCTTAGGGACAAGGTTCAGGCATTATTAACCATTTCCAAACTGGAGTTTCAGAATGCAACTATTGGAAGGAACCCCATGGGTCCCCAGTTCAGCATCTTCACTGCCTTGTCCCTCAGGCTTACACAAGCTGTCAGCATGGCCCTGGGGGAGGTGGTGCCACATGGCAGGGGCTGGGTGAATCTGGTTTCCAAGCCAGTCCCTGCCCCAGGCTTGCTGAATGGCCTCAGGCAAGGATCTTGACCTCTCTGGGCCTTGATTTCCTCTTGAGTAAAGGATGAATAACCAGTTCCTACTTGCAGGGTCATTCTGAGGACTAAACAAAGTAATGCATGCAATATTCCTCTGGGACACAGAGAACACCCAAAGAATGAGGGTTCTCAATCTAGCAGTAGTTCGGAAAGAACTATTATCACTGCAAAAAGCACTGTTCAGAGAAGCCAGAAGCCCAAGTTCTGGGCCTGCTATGCTTCTCAAGAGCTTTGTGACATTAGGAACACTGTTCACCTCTCTGAGCCTCAGTTTCCTCAACTATAACTAAAATTCAAATGGGTCTCTAAGGCCTCTTCCAGTAAATAAATATATACTGAATATGTTTTTATTTGTGTGTATATATAATATGTGTATATGTACACCAGGGATTCTCAGCCTCGGCTATGGACATTTGGGGCCAGATAATTCTTTGTTGTGAGGAACCATCCTATGCATTGTAAGATGGTTAGCAACATCCCTGACCTTTACCCTCTAGATGCTAGTAGAATGTGCCCCCAGCCCCACCCAAGTCTAACCAAAATATTTCTAACCAAAATATTTCTAACCAAAATATCTCCAGGCATTGCCAAATGTCTCCTGGGCAGCAATGCTGCCCCAAGCTGAGAACTTATTCATCATGCACACATGTGCATGCATGCGCGTATACACATACACACACAGAATAATAAGATGCGAACTTTGATACAGTGAAGAGGTAAGCTGGTGAGAGCAGAGGAACTCAATTTCTGTGTACAGAGGCCTTGAAATGTGCTCATGGAAACTTTACAGGGAATGAGACTACAAACATACACAGGACTTTTGAGCTTCTTTACATCTGTAAAACGGTTACTGTGCTCGTAAAGACTGCCTGCAGACTTAATTTGGCATATACATACAGAGTCCCATTTAGTGCATAAACGCACTGGCCCCAGAGCTCCCCACATCTGGTCTGCCCTGGTCAAGAATGTACTGGGAACTTGGCCTGGGGGAGACGAACACAGGGGGATTCTGTGTGCTCCCTTCCTGAACACTCGCCTTGAGCACCCTGGAGGAAAAGGAAGCTGAAGCTGGACTGGGGCAGCAGGCTGCGGTGGTCATTCCTGAGGAAGAGGGCATTTTGCCAAATGTGCAAATCCCTTTGACTTAGTGGATTTGACCAGACTTCTCAATGTACTATTTTCCTAGTTCAGCAGAGCTTGGTGAATGAGGCTTGTGCTCACCGACATGAGACCATAGACGTACATACCTACCCACTTGGCTCACTGAAGTAAAAATGAACAATTATCACGAAGACGGAACACAGAAGTTCCAAAGAGGGACTGGTAAAGTGGAGGAGGGGAGGTGAACATCAGCTTTAAAGAGAAGTCTGTTTACCCTGAGTCTTTAAAGGCCAGAATCCTGAACTCCTTTTTTTACCTCATTATGACTTCTTTAACATTTGTTTTTAATTTATTCAAGATCATAATCTTCACTGAGGACCACATATGAGCCAAACTTGAACTTGAAAACCAAGCTGGGCCTTTTGTTCTGCCTGCGTTAATTAGTGTACAAAGGGGCATCTGATTTCCCCCCTCCCCCAACAGTCTAAAACACTGGTTCCTATTTATGTAACTAACAATGTTAGAGTGGGGTGCAGACGGGCCTGGTGGGTAACTGGCCCTAGGACAGGTATCAGGAAATTAACGTCCTAATCCTGGCTGATTCTCTGTGGGCCACTAAGACAATCTATTTCAAGTGCTGAGCCTCATCTTTAAATTAGTTAACAGTTCCCTGTTAGCTGAAAACATGAAGTAAATTAACTAGAATTATGAAGATCTATAGTATTCTAGTGATTTGTACTTGAAAATGAAGTACGAAGACTAGAGCAGTTCCATAGACCAATCTATGGTTCTCAAAGTGGGTTCTGTGGAGCACAAGTCCCACTGTGTCCAGAATTGGTTCCTTCCAGTGGGTTCATGGTCTCGCTGACTTCAAGAATGAAGCTGTGGACCTTCACAGTGAGCGTTACAGCTCTTAAAGGTGGCACGGACCCAAAGAGTGAACAGCAGCAAGATTTATTGTGAAGACCGAAAGAACAAAGCTTCCACAGAGCGTTGCTGCTGCTGCTGGCTGGGGTGGCCAGCTTTTATTCCCTTATTTGTCCCCGCCCATGTCCTGCTGATTGGTCCATTTTACAGAGTGCTGATTGGTCCATTTTACAGAGTGCTGATTGGTGCATTTTACAAACCTCTCGTAAGACAGAAAAGTTCTCCAAGTACCCATTCGACCAAGGAAGTCCAGCTGGCTTCACCTCTCACCATGAGATGCTACTTGGAGAAAAAATGTTCTGCTGGGTGTGGTGCCTCAGACCTGTAATCCCAGTACTTTGGGAGGCCAGGGCAGGAGGATCACAAGGTCAGGAGTTTGAGACTAGCCTGGCCAACATGGTGAAACCCCGTCTTTACTAAAAATACAAAAATTAGCCAGGCATGGTGGCACGCACCTGTAGTCCCAGCTACTCAGAAGGCTGAGGCAGGAGAGTTGCTTGAACCCGGGAGGCAGAGGTTGCAGTGAGCTGAAATTGTGCTACCGCACTCTGGCCTAAGCAACAGAACAAAACTGTCTCAAAAAAAAAAAAAGTTCTATGGGTGCCTCACTCACTTGGACGGCAAATACTTGTTTGACGGCCTTCCTTATATCTGGTGCTGAGAACACAGGAGGGAAGGAACAAAACAAATCCACTGCCTGCCTTCTTCAGTGAGTTTAAGATCCAGAGGATCAGATCATTATTAGGCCACATATTTACCGACAGTGAAATGTGCTCAAGTACAGAGAGCTGAGAACTTACAGCAGGGAAACCACATCTAAGGCTGGGAGGCAGGGAAGTATGAGGTGAGACTTACGCATGGGGTGACGGGGAGTAGGTGGAGGGGTAGTATTCCAAACACAAGGAAAGCCTTGGTCAAACAAACCCAAGGAATCCTGCATAATACACTCCCTTCTGTGAGATTCACTGGCATGTTAAAGGCCTGAGAAGTCCTGCAGAAATGAAGCCCAGCACGTTCTACCTAATAACATCCCAAGGATGTTACTCTGGGAAGTACTTAAAGAGGCACTATTGTTCTCATAGCCTATAAGAAACTTCAGTATAAAACAAAAGCTCTTGTTCATATAACTGGAAAACTATCATGTGTCCTCTCAGAGCAGCCAAAATACCTTGGAGTTGCTAATGTAATTCTCAAGTATTTTCCTTGGCACAGGCCTATAAAACGATATGGCCTCTACAACTGCTCACATACTCCCAGTAACACAGATGAAGGAAAGTCCATAGCACAAACCAGCGAGCCAGATTCAATGTTCTAACTCTAGCACAGACCTCGGCTTTATTTATTTTTAAAGGATGTACAGCCTCAATTCTGGGACGAATTGAGAAAACTTCCATAAAAAGCAAAATAAAAATGAACAACCACCAGTAATCAACTTATCAAAAATTACACATGGAAAGATACCCGAAGTGAACAATGATTTCCCTTGTTAACCTAAAATGTCTAAGAGGAAGACAGCTTTTGCTGTTTATTTTATTACATACTGTGCATAAAAAAGAGGGAAATGTAAATCAACAGTAACAGATATTCACACATATGCAGAAAGAAGGCAGACTTTGTGTGCAAAGAATGGTGTTAGCGACAATGATCATCAAAAGAGAAATATGACAGCCAACATACTTAAGAATATGTATTCTAGAAAACTAGCAATCCAAAATTAAACATAAGTTAGTGTCCTAGGAATAGTGCAGTGTAGAGATTAAATTTTATAGAGGCTAGCCGGGTGCAGTGGCTCACGCCTGTAATCCCAGGACTTTGGGAGGCCGAGGTGGGTGGATCACAAGGTCAGGAGATCGAGACCAACCTGGCTAACACGGTGAAATCCCATCTTTACTAAAAATACAAAAAATTAGCCGGGCGTGGTGGTGGGCACCTATAGTCCCAGCTACTTGGGAGGCTGAGGCAGGAGAATGGCGTGAACCCGGGAGGCGGAGCTTGCAATGAGCCAAGATCGTGCCACTGTACTCCAGCCTGGGTGACAGAGCAAGACTCCATCTCAAAAAAAAAAAAAAAAAAATTTATAAAGGCTAGCAAGATCATGAAACCCAGGACCACTAAAACAGATAATGAGTTTATCTTAACAAAACCCTTGCTGTGTGTGCCAGGCACTGTTCTACATGCTTATATGCAACCTTATTTAATCTTTGCAACTATGAGGTAGATCCTGGGAATACATCAAAGTATGGCTTCAGCCTATACTAGTCAATGGAAATCT
Organism: Homo sapiens; assembly: GCF_000001405.40. NCBI lineage: Eukaryota > Metazoa > Chordata > Mammalia > Primates > Hominidae > Homo > Homo sapiens. The sequence goes on along the minus strand of NW_025791763.1, from coordinate 79,328 downwards.
GTTATCCAGCTTTAGCATGAATCTTCAGAAGGACTGAACTTCTGCCTGATTGATGATGATGTAATCACATAGGTGACCAACATATCCCATCCATGTAGCAATGTGAGAACTAAGGAAACGAAGCATTGTTCAAATCTGCTGTCATTATCTGAGCATGCCCTTTCAAAAACAGGTAAACATTCCACGTGCAACTTGAGTGAAAATCTCCTTGTGACCCTTATCTCTTGAAATGTATCAGTTGGTAGAAATATATATATGCTTATTTTTTGTTGAAAGAGTAAAATATAAGCATGAAAAATATTAATTTTATGTAGAAAGCAATTATCATGTAAAATTATACAACTATTAAGTAGGGGGATTGATGAACAGAATCACCAATATTAAGAGTACATTTAAAAAAAGAGACTAGGCTGGACGTGGTGGCTCACACCTGTAATCCCAGCACTTTGGGAGGCCGAGATGGGCAGATAACCCGAGGTCTAGAGTTTAAGACCAGCCTGGCCAACATGGTGAAACCCTGTCTCTACTAAAACTACGAAAATTAGCCGGGCATGGTGGCACGTGCCTGTAATCTCAGCTACTTGGGAGGCTGAGGCAGGAGAATTGCTTGAACTTGGGAGGCTGGGGTTGCAGTGAGCCAAGATCGCGCCCCTGCACTCCAGCCTCGGTGACAGAGTGAGACTCTGTCTCAAAAAAAAAAAAAAAGAGAGAGAGAGAATGGTATATCCTTTTAGAGCAAATAAATGCTTATTGTTTTAAAATTACAATAGGCATATTATATTCTACCTCTAGTCGCTACAGAACTGCTTAGTGCACTCATAACATTAAACACAATAACCTTTAGTAGCTATATATGCAACCCTAGGGTTCAGACAGTGGTCTGTAAGTAACATTCTCCACTAAAAGAAGACAGAGCTTCTTCTAGAAATGGCCAGCTCCTGGCCTGGGACAAGAAATGTACAAGGTGTGCTGGAGTATCCTGCCAGACCAGTAAGCAGAGAAGCATCCAAGACCACCAGGATTGTGTCACAAGGACTCAGAAGCCAGCCTGAAGAGGCTCCCCCTGGCTAAAGATGGGACAGTTTGGGTATCAATAAGGATAATAATTGCAAATGGATTGAAAGACATTAAGTAGGTTTAAATCTATTTCATAATATTTTAAGCTTCATTGGTCACCTTTACAGGGTGCCATGAAACCAGGAGGAAACTGGTATATAAAGGGAAAGAATGAGGCATTTAAATTGCTTTCCCCATATGATCTAAAACAAGGGTCAGCAAATTTTTACTGCAAAGGGCCTGACAGAAAATCTTTCCAGCTCGGTGGGCCACATATGGCTTCAATCACAGCTAATTAACTGGGCACCTTGTAGTGCCCCAAAGCTGCCCTAAACAATATGCAAATGCATGAATATAGCTGTGTTCTAATAAAACTTTATTTATCAAAGTAAGTGGCAAACTGGTCTCAGCCTGTAGACTCTAGTTTGCTGACCTCTGATCTGAGGTAACTAAAGAGTTGGTGAGGGGTAGTTTCTCTTTTTAAAAATATTATAACTGATAGACAAGGGAATGATACAAATAGACTATCACCATTTTGAAACTGCAAATGAGGTAAAGGATGTGGGTGCTGATAATTAGTAGCTGCTGACATCACAGAGAGATAATCAGTATCTCTGATGGAAAACAACATCTATTATATGAAGCAGTCTTGCAAAAATAAGTTAAAAAAGGAGAGAGGGAATGGGAGAGAGAGAGAAACACTCTGAATCTTGACCAAAAATCTAAATCTAATAATTTTCAAGAACTTCAGTGGATAGAGCAACATGTTAAAAGATATCATGAGGTTGCACTTAGCAAAATCCAGACTGTGAAAAACTCCACAGGAGTCATCAAGATAAAAACCTAATTAGGAAGTTACTCACATCCTATGAAAAATGCTGAGCAGAATGTCAACTTTGCTATCTCAACATTTCGTAAGGAAAAAACTCCAAAATCTTGCAGTATAGTTTCTTGATAAATCATCTTTGATCCAGACATAATAAAGACTATAAAAGCTTCAGAGAAAATAAACCTGTTATTTTTTAAAAATGAGAGACCCCAAGATATCTCATACTTTCACCTTATTTAGTATGCACAAATATGTTCTATAGTGTCACAGAAACAATCTAGCAACTGAAAAAATTATTGCTCCTGCCCTACACTGTCAATTTTTAAAAACTGATCATCAATTTGGCAACTGTCACAGTGGAAATTGTTTCTGGCAAGAATCATCAATGGCCACTAAAACCATTGGGTAAAGGTTTGATGAGAAATGGGATATTTACATAGTCTCAAAGTATGTCCCATAAAGTACTGATTAATTACAAAGAAGAAAAGTAGTAACTTTCTTGGAGAAAGCTGGAACACATGATTTTAACCAAGAAAACAAAATTAGTATCACCTATAATGGGAAAAATAGATAACGTTCCTGAGGAGATACAATAAGAACACCCTATCTTTCCTGCCCAAAATGTACAACCTAAAGCTACTCATGAAGAAACACCAGAAAAAAAAAAAAAAGTCAAGGTTCTTCTGCAAAATAAATGGCCTGTAATCTTTAAAGAGTCAAGAACATGGCCGGGCGCGGTGGCTCACGCCTGTAATACCAGCACTTTGGGAGGCCAAGGCGGGTGGATCACGAGGTCAGGAGATCGAGACCATCCTGTCTAACACGGTGAAATCCCGTCTCTACTAAAATACAAATAATTAGCCAGGCGTGGTGGCGGGCGCCTGTAGTCTCAGCTACTCAGGAGGCTGAGGCAGGAGAACGGCGTGAACCCGGGAGGTGGAGGTTGCAGTGAGCTGAGATCGCTTCACTGCACTCCAGCCCGGGCGACAGAGCGAGACTCCGTCTCAAAAAAAAAAAAAAAGAGTCAAGAACATGAGAGACAGGCCGAAGAACTTCCAGACTAAAGGAGACTAAGAGACAATTAAGCATAAGATGTGATGTTGAACTCATCCTAAAGCCAAAAAAAATGAATAAATAAAAGTAAAAATGTTTTCCTCTTCTACAAAAGACATCTATCAGTAAGACAACTGGCAAAATCTTAATAAGTTCCATAGATGAGACAATTGTACTGTCTCTATGTTAATTTCCCGATTTCAGTAATTACACTTTGGCGAATGTCCTTGTTTTTAGAACGTATCTTGTCCCTTCATCTTATTTAGAGTCACAAATATGCTCTATAGTATCAGAGATGCAATCTAACAAATTATGCCCCCTTAAGTAAAGGGACATTACGCCTGCAACTTACTTGCAAATGGCTCAGAAAAAAGTTACAGAGCCGGGCGCGGTGGCTCACGCCTGTAATCCCAGCACTTTGGGAGGCTGAGGCAGGCAGATCACTTGAGGTCAGGAGTTTGAGACCAGCCTGGCCAACATAGTGAAACCCTGTCTCTACTAAAAACACAAAAATTAGCCAGGTGTAATGACAGGTGCCTGTAATCACAGCTACTTGGGAGGCTGAGGTGGGAGAATGGCGTGAACCCGGGAGGCGGAGGCTGCAGTGAGCTGAGATGGCGCCACTGACTCCAGCCTGGGCGTTGCAGCCAGACTCTATCTCAAAAAAAAAAGTTACAGAAAGAAGGCAAATTTAGGGGAAAGTACAAGGGAATTATTTGTGCTATTTTTGTATATTTTCTGTGACTGAAATTATTATAAAATTAAAAGTTAAAATGTAATTTATATTTATATACTATACTGCTTACATATATCCTACATATAAATTTCAACTTATTTATAAAGTTAGTGTGTGTGTGTATACACATATACACACATATGTGTATATGTGTATATACATATATACACATATACACACATATATATGCACATTATCTTGTTGATAGCTATTTGATCAAGAACTCACACAAACTGGCAATTATGTTAAAGTAATTTGTTAAGTTTTTGCAAAGGGAATTGACAACCATGTAAATTCAAAACCCGCACTAAATACTAATTGCTTTTGTTTATGCATTTCTGGCCTCTCCCCTGACTCCATTTAGTCATTTCCTATAAAAAAAATTTTAAGGGCTGGGCGCGGTGGCTGACACCTGTAATCCTAGCACTTTGGGAGGCCAAGGCGGGTGGATCACCTGAGGTCAGGAGTTCAAGACCAGCCTGGCCAACATGGTGAAACCCCATCTCTACTAAAAATACAAAAATTAGCTGGGTGTGGTGGCAGGCGCCTATAATTCCATCTACTCAGGAGGCTGAGGCAGGAGAGAGAATCGCTTGAACCTGGGGGGGCAGAGGTTGCAGTGAGCCAAGATCGCGCCACTTCACTTCAGCCCGGACAAAAGAGCAAAACTCCGTCTCAAAAAAAAAAAAAAAAAAAATTAAATACTGTAAGAAAAGATCCACTTGTTAAGATGCTGGTTAAAATATTTGGCTACTAAACATCTTAATAAAGTTGTGATAATACTGTATATTATTTTGGTAACATTTCTAATTTCTTTTTATATCCTGGAGATTCTATGATGCTGATATTTCATTTCAGCCTCGAACAACTCCTGATTTTAAAACACAGTCCATTCAGACAAAATGTTACTTCAGTGCTTCTCAAAGCATTATCTGTCCCCATTTATCATTATGACTATCATTATCCCCATTCTCCCTGAGGGGGGCCCTGGGGCATAGGGACACAGCCAACTCATGACGCGGCTGGGATTCAGTGCTCTGCAAACCCTGGTCAAAACCCAAGTTCCAGACCCCCCTAGACACACTGCCACCTGGAGGGACAAGGGGTGGCCTGTTAGTAGAATATTCTCCATCCCTCAAGCCTTGGGCTTCTTTCTTTCCACACAAGTTCCTCTCCTCTCTTTCCATGCAAGGTCCAAGGAACTGCTTATTAAAGGGCTGTCTCAGACTCCACAGACTCTCCCCATCCCAGCCCCTTCCTGCATTAACTCTCCTTTGCATCATCTGGGAACACCCTTGTGAAGATGACCCATTTTCCACTCCAAAGCTTCAGCACCAGCGTCTCACTCTCCCTAACAAGGATTTTATAACAAAAAAAGCTTATGTTGTAAAGTAGAAAGCAAAGTGTTTTCAGCTCATGCACTCTAATACTCCTACTATACTCTTACCCTCCCATGGTAACTCTCCTCTATGCATCCCACCCAGAACATAGTTTAAGTCAATAACATAATTAATAAGTAAAAACTACAGACAGTCCCTAACCTATGATGGTCCAACTTAATATTTTTTTGACTTTACGATGGGTTTATCCAGATGTAAGCCCATTTAAAGTCCAGTCGCATCTGTATATCCAATGTAAAGTTACACCCACACATGCACGAGGATGTGGGGCTGGTCAGGAGTATGAGCGAGGCAACAAACTAAGGCACCAAACAGATGCCCACCATTATTACATATGGTGTATAGATTTAACACCCAGACACCACCACGTCTGCCAGTGAGTGGATCCCCAAGGGCAGCTTCATCCACAAGTGGCACAGGGGCTACACCTTAATGCTAGGGTCCTGGGGCCCCTGGCCCAGCTGGGACCACCAAGATCCTGTCCTCCTCAATCTCTGGGACTGGGGCTCCCCTCCCTCACTTTCTCTGGAATCCCCTTGGACCCCAAGAGCCAGGAGTCCCCTCCCTGTCTTTCCTCCTCTCCCCATCTCCACCTAGCGCCCTACCACTGCCCTCATCTAGGAGGTGCTGGGGTTTGGGTTCCCACAGCATCACGTGGGGAGGGGTGGGGAAAGAGTGACAGGTGGGAGGGGGACACACAAGCAATCCCTAGTTCGGGTTGTATGGAAGATTCCACAGAGTGAGGACAGGGTGAGAGTATTTTGCTACCCGGACCCCCCACGAAAAGCTTCATCATGGACAAGAGAATAAGGACCTGCTGCAACCTTGGCCTGAGGTGGAGGACACGGCCTAGGCAGACTGCAGGGTTTCCAGATGTGAGACTACAGGGACTTTGAATGTGGCTGAAGAAATAGGCCTTAGTTTATTTATCCTGGGTTTTTAATTCCGAACTTTTCCAAACATACAGAGAAGTTGGGTGAATAGATTGATTGCCCGTGTATCTCCACCTAGAACTGTTAACATCTCACCTATGATATTTAAGGAACCAAGTGTACCACCTCAAAATATCATAAGAAAAACACAAGGGAATTTGGAGATTGGGAAAAACAGAATCAATAGAGCTGCACAGTGCAGAAAAGCAAAGAAAGATTAAGATAGCAATTAACACCACCTCTGAGACTGTAAATCAACCAGCTATTAAGGCTCTGATTCTACGTCAGGTACTAAAAATGCCTCCTAAGTGAAAGGGATAGAAATGCCACTGAAGCCAGGCACAGTGGCTCACACCTATGATCCCAGCACTTTGGGAGGCCGACGCAGGCAGATCACCTGAGGTCAGAACATCAAGACCATCCTGGCTAACACAGTGAAATCTCGTCTCTACTAAAAATACAAAAAAATTAGCCAGGCGTGGTGGCAGGCGCCTGTAGTCCCAGCTACTCAGGAGGCTGAGGCAGGAGAATCGCTTGAACCCAGGAGACGGAGGTTGCAGTGAGCCGAGATCGTGCCATTGCACTCCAGCCTGGGCAACAAGAGCGAAACTCCATCTCAAAAAAAAAAAAAAAAAAAAAGAAAGAAAGAAAAGAAAAGAAATGCCACTGAAAAGAATATATGCTGAGGGATGTTACTCATCTTTTACTTCTACACACCATTTCTTTGAATCTTGCCCCAAATGGCATTTTCATGCATTGTCACGTCAATTTGGCTCTCAATTTTCAGTGGAGGGAAATTGCAGCCCAGTGGAACCAGAATCCCCCACAGCTGGAATGCTGGCTCTATCACCTTCTGGGGAGGTGACTCTGGGCCTCTGGTTTACTGTCAAAGTCTTGGCTTCCTCAAGGATAAAATCGAGGTGATAATATCAGATGCACAAGAATTCAGTGTAGGAAGAGTTAGAACAGCGTGATATAGTGCCCTGGAACACTAAAGGTGCTTATGGGGCTATTTTTTAATATTGATGTTTAAATATTCATGTTGTCAACAATCAACAAGTGAATCGCTTATTATGAGTCAGGTGTTAGGTTTTAGATAAAGAAGTATTTCAAGGTGCATCATCTCAGCTGGGCTCAGTGGCTCATGCCTGTAATCCCAGCACTTTGGGAGGTCGAGGTGGAAGGATCACTTGAGCCCAGGCATTCGAGACCAGCCTGGGCAACATAGTGAGACCCTGTCTCTATTTTTTTTTAAATAAACAAAAAATAAAATAAAATAAAATAAAATAAAAACATAGCAAAAAGATGTGCATCATCTCCGGAGCACTGCTGGCTGTGTACTTCCCTGAGTGGTAGAAGATGAAGCTTTACCACTGTAGAGTGCAGCTGGACCCTAGTCCTGTTTCCATCACTCCTAATTGTTTGCCCTTGGGCAGGTCAACAACTGCCCTGAGCTTGTGCTCCTCACCTGTTGGGTGGGCGGGATGGTTCCACCTAGCTCAGAGGGCTAGAGGACACTCCCGCAGGGTCCTTGATAAGAATCTCAGGGACTAACACCCAACCACCTCTAGAAGGTATGTCTTGCAAATCCGGCTGAGTTTAATGACCCTGACATATCCTTTTTTGGAATTTACAGAGGGGAGTGTAGTCCCAAACATCAGAAAGCACTACTGCCAACAAATCTGGACTTGTAAATTGATCTGCTTTTCATACCACTCATTCCTACTTCATTTTTCTTCCTCATTATCAATGAGATCCATCTGTTCCTTAATCACAGTTGCCATCTCTCAAACTTACACCTTTCTGCTTTCTCCACACATTCTCTATGGACATTCCTACATATAATAGCCCCATTCACTTTAATGAGGTCTAAGATATTTATCTAAGATTTAGTGCCTTGCAATACCCAGGTCTCTAGGATGGCTTAGGTAGGACCCCAAAAGCCTCCCAACTTCTGTCAACCATATCATAAGCCCCCTTTGTTAATCTTTCCACCATGCTATTATTGGAAAGTAATTTGGGAAGTAAAGGAAAAAGTATGGAATGTCATGATTTCTTTTTTTTTTTTTTTTGAAACAAAGTCTCGCTTTTTTGCCCAGTCTTGGCTCACTGCAGCCTCTGCCTCCCGGGTCCAAGCAATTCTCCCGCCTCAGCCTCCCGAGTAGCTGGGATTATAGGTGTGTGCTACCACACCCAGCTAATTTTTTGTATTTTTAGTAGAGACGGGGTTTCACCATGGTGGCCAAGCTAGTCTTGAAATCATGACCTCAAGTGATCCTCCCGCCTCGGCCTCCCAAAGTGCTGGGATTACAGGAGGGAGCCACTGTGCCCGGTGGAGTTTCATGATTTCTAACCATCTTAAACATACATACACACACACACACATACACACACACACACACACACACACACACACAGAGAGAGAGAGAGAAAGGGGGATGGGAAAGAAGACAAATATCCCCTCTGCAATTCCCAAAATAACTGTGTAAATGTTTAGTATGTATTTCTTTATTGTTCAAAAAAAATTTTTTTTTTGAGACAGGGTCTTACTCTGTCACCCAGGCTGGAGTACAGTGGGGTAATCTTGGCTTACTGCAGCCTCAACAGCCTGGGCTCAAGCAATCCTCCCACCTCAGCTTCCTGAGTAGCTGCGATTACAGGCACACGTTACCACTCCTGGCTAATGTTTTTTTTGGTTTTTGTTTTTTTTTTTTTTTTTGTAGAGACAGGGTTTTGCCAAGTTACCCAGGCTGGTCTCGAACTCCTGAGCTCAGGCTATCTGTCTGCCTCAGCCTCCCAAAGTGTGGGGATTACAGGCGTGAGCTACCACATGCAGCCTAGTATGTATTTCCTTAATGGTCAATTAACGCTGAAATAGTCTTTTATAGATTTTTGGGACTGATTTTTCATTTGTGGAGAGCTTAAAGAAAGCAACCAATTTATAAAATATTTTATAAGATGAACCATAAGGAAATAATACTTGTACATTTGGTTCACCAGAGCTGGGTTAACCAAACTATGTTGTAATCCAAATTGTGAGTATAGTAAGTTTACTCCTCCAGCGTTCTTCCACACCAAACATTCGTTTGCGTATTCTTCCAACCCTCACCAATTTCAATGAGGAAAAACAATCCCCAATTTCCAAACAGGTCAAATGTTAGCAGGTAAGCACCTTTTCCTCGGATGAAGTTCCTGGGACAGCCCACGAAAGGTCATTAACCCCTCTGGGGCACTGCACTGGGGGAACAACTTCAACCACAACTGTCACTCGCTTCTACAACTGTTTATTCAGGAAAGTACATTCTCAGGTCCAATGTGTAAAGTTGGAACAAATCTATCCACCCTCAACCCCAGCTGATAACTCACACCAGGATTTCTGAACTGGGAAACAAAGGTCAGCTGCCCTTCTCTGGAGAGGAGGAGGAGCTAATTATATCAGGCATGTGTGTAAAATCACATGGGTAGAATGGGAGACCTAGACTTTGGACTCACAACCAAGTTCAAATCTTGGCGCCATCAATCACCATCAATGTAACCTTGTACGAGATACTTGACCTCTACAAGTCTGTTTGCACAGCAGCAAAATGGGAACAAGTATCTACTTCTTAGCAGGTTAGAAGCTATGAAAAACACTAAAGTCTTAGCAGCCATTGCCAAGTGCTTTCCAAATGGGGTGGAGCTATTTGCGCCCCTTAAGACCAGCCAAAAAGAGCAGCCGGAGCAGCCATTTTACCTCATATTTGCCAGCATTGAAGAGGCTTATTCAGACAAAATCATAATGTGGTGGGCCAAAGATGATTCTTGTATTAATTAGTATTTTTTGACTCCCTGGGAAGTTAAACATAGTTTCACATATTTGCAGCCATTTATAGTTGTTCTTTTGTGAATTTCATGTTTATGTTTATTTTCTACAATTAGGGTGAACACTTGGGGCCTTGTTCCTCCTCTTGAATAGAAATGAAAATATTTCCAAAAATGCTGTGACACAGTTTGAGAGCATGAGTGTGAGCTCATTTCCTGTCCTGAGGACCCCAGATAATTAGAGCTATTGCCTTTGACCATATCCACAAAAACTCCTGAAAAAGGCTATGTTTAGGAAAACATTTTTATGATTTTATTTCCAAACTTTGAAGTATACTTCTCAATTAGAAGATCATTTTCCTAATCTGTACATTATGCACACAATGAAAAGGAAAAATTTAGAAGTTTGAAATTTATTTGAGAACCTTAAACGTATCTGTCAATTGAGTGAGCTCAGAGCATTGCTAACACCTTGTGAGTCTCAGAAAGAAACTATAGAAGTGTCCTGGGGCTGTTCCCTGGGCAGTGCATACAGCACAGAGCAAAGGGCAAGTCCCCTTCACTCCCCTCATGGTTCCCTTCATTTCTGAACACCAAGGTTTTGGAAACTGCATTTATTTTATTGTTCACTATATCTAATCCGGTTTGGGAGAAATAATATAAAACATGGGATATATAAAAACCTCCTCCAAAAATAGATTAGAAAAGACAATCTGGGACGGTTTTCTATATGCTCTTAAGTGACCAGTACTTCCCCATCCCCAGTTACTTATCACTTCAATATCTCAATATCTGCCCCTAGCTACACACAAATTGTGTCTGTGTTGTGTGTGTGTGTATATATATATATATATTATATATATACACACAACACACACACACACACACACACACACACACACATTTTTTTTTTTTTTGGAAACAGGGTCTCACTCTGTCATTCAGGCTGGAGTGCAGTGGCGTGATCATGGCTCACTACAACCTCCATGCCCAGGCTCAAGTGATCCTCCCACCTCAGCCTTCCAAGAAGCTGGTGCCCACCACCATGCCCAGCTAAGTTTGTGTATGTTTTGTAGCAATGGGGTTTCGCCATATTGCCCAGGCTGCTCTCGAACTCGTGAGCTCAAGCAATCTGCCCGCCTTGGCCTCCCAAAGTGTTGGGATTACAGGCATGAGCCACCACACCAGGACACAAAGCGTATTTTGATGCTCTATCCCTCTTCAACATCAGCCAGCTCCAGATAATAAAAGGAGGGAAAATTTCCCAGGTGTGCCATGTCTTCCTTTCAATCAATACACAAACATTTCATTATCTAACATGTAGCTAAAAGGTTCCCAACATTTTGGGCTTTATGAGAGGATGGAGAGGAAGTTCCTGCAGTCTCCCTACTGCCAACAAAATTCCAAGGCCCCCACTCTAGCCAACTTGCCCTTGGTTTTCCTGAGAATACCAAGAAGCCATCTGGTCCTCCAATGCACACTATCCATTTCTGCCAACTCACCTCTGCATTCCCCTACAACCTCATCTTCAAGTCTTGGGCTCGTCTTTAAAGCTGGGGGGACACCTACTATACAGCACCCTCCACGGATGAAGTAAGAAGCCTACCTGCTTTTGAAGCTCTCAGTCTCACCTCCTCTTCCTCTCATCTTCTTTCCCATTCATCTTCAAGCCTGCCCTATGGCTCCTACAAACAGGCTCCCACTCCAGCATCCCAAATACACTTTCTCCCAAACTTGCGGCTCCTCCCTTTCCTCTTCTTTCCATAGCCAGGCTTTTGAAATGGGTTGTCGAGTCTTTGAGGTTCCCCGTGGTGGTACTGAGATATGGAAGGTACACCGGGATAGAAGGAGGAGGCTGCTTGAAACTGCAGGAGTCTGGTCTGGGGTTCCAGCTGAGGGGGAGGCACTGGGCCACACCTGAGATCAGTCTGCAGCTTGGCGCCTTGGCTATCCTATTTGGGAAGCACTGAGCTAATGTCTCTTCTCTCTACCTTTAACACCACCACTTGCCTGGAACACTTCCCTCCATGGGCACCAGTAACTTCCTAATAGCTGAATTCCAAAAGCTCCTCTTATTTTTTATTTTTATTTATTTCTTAGAGACAGGGTCTCACTGTCTGTCACCCAAGCTGGGGTGCAGTGGCACAATCATAGTTCACTGTAGCCTTGAACTCCTGAGCTACCACCATGCCCGGACAAGTTTTAAAATTTTGTTAGAGATTGGGTCTTGCAATGTTGTACAGGCTGGTCTTGAACTTCTGGCCTCAAAATATCCTTCTGCCACAGCCTCCTGAGTAGCTGGGATTACAGGCACAAGCCACAGCATCTGGCTCAAAAGCTCCTCTTGACTCCTCGATCTTCTTGTCCCCTCTCTCTCTGTGGCATCTAACACCAAGGACACTCTCTTTTCTTTCTCTCTTCTGTCTCTCTCTCTCTTTCGCTCTTATTGCCCAGGCTGGATTCTTTCTTCCTTTCAGATGGAGTTTCACTCTTGTTGCCCAGGTTGGAGTGCAATGGTGCGATCTCAGCTCACTGCAACCTCTGCCTCCCAGGTTAAAGCAATTCTCCTGCCTCAGCCTCCCAAGTAGCTGGGATACAGGTGCCGCCTCCTGGGTTCAAGTGATTCTCCTACCTCAGCCTCCTGAGTACCCGGGATTACAGGCACCTGCCACCACGCCCAGCTGATTTCTGTATTTTTAGTAGAGACAGGGTTTCCACTGTGTTTGCCAGGCTGATCTCGAACTCCTGACCTCAGGTGATCCACCCGCCTTGACCTCCCAAAGAGCTGGGATTACAGACATGAGCCACTGCACCTGGCCTCCCACTTTCTTTCCCTCCAGCTTCCACCATGGAGGAAAAGAAAGGGGGAGGGGAGTCCCTAAGTGCTTCTCCTACCTTACCCAATGCTCCCTTCCATCCTCCTCCAACGACTTCTGTCCCTGCTCTAAGCATCCCTTCTCCTACTTCTATACCTCTCTTACATCAGCCAGTTTCAATCATCCCCTCAACATCCCCTCACACCTAACGTGTCTCCAATGAAACCGAGGGTTCCTCCCAATGAGAGCCTCTCATAGACTGTGTGGGCTCTGTCATCGCCAAAATATTCAGTAAGCATCTGTCCACCACTGGGGAGGTAGAGACTGGGGAGGCCTCCCCACCCACAGAAGTCAGTCTCCAGGTGCCTGAGCTTGGACACCAGGAATTAACTGTGACATCAGCCACTTTCTGGATCTGGTACCTCCCCTCCCCAAAGAGGTACAGACAAGAATCCTATTTCCTCCCATCCCACCTTTCCTTTCCACTCTGCTACTCTGAAGCCCTTTTCACCTCACCCCTGACTCCTGTGAGTCTAATTGCTCTATCCCCTTCCAGGTCCTCGTCCTCCAATCCACCATTATCTTTCTAGCCATGTGTACAAGTCACATCACTTCCCAGCCTAACTTCTGATGGTTCTCTGCTGCCTCTTAAATAAGATCAGATTCCTTCCATGGCATTCTAGGTCCCCTAGCCCATGTCCTGGCCCCTTCTCCTTCCAGGCAAATGGAACTGAAATAAGCTGCATTACCCCCAAATCGCCCTGAACTTTTCCTTCCTCCATGTCTTCACTCTCCTGGTCCTGGCTCCCACCTCAAGATGAGAGTGAAGGAAGACTTCCACTTTTTCACTCTAAATGCCTCCTCTTACTATTTACATTCTTCTAAATTAACAAGAATTACCTGGATTAAAGAATGACTGAGTTTTAAGGACCAGTTTAAACCTACTTCTTCGACCTGCCTTCTTGGATCACCCAGGAAGTAATTTTTCTCAATTTCTATTATGAAAATGCTTCTCCAGACTTTACTACCTCTTAACTTCTTATTACAGTGCTACCATGACTTCTTTCCTACTTAATTTTTAAATCCTTTAGGGCAAAGCCTGGGTCTTATCTTGTTTCCCATGGTCCCTTAGCCATTGCCCATGATAGGTATCCAATAGACTTCAGTTGAAGAAGTTTAAGAGTTAGGAATTAGTTTTAAGAGTGCAAATCTAGGCTGGGCGCAGTGGCTCACGCCTGTAATCCCAGCACTTTGGGAGGCCGAGACAGGTGGATCACGAGGTCAGGAGTTCGAGACCAGCCTGGCCAACATGGTGAAACCCTGTCTCTACTAAAAATACAAAAATTGGCTGGGCGTGGTGGCACGCACCTGTAATCCCAGCTACTCAGGAGGCTGAGGCAGGAGAATCACTTGAACCCAGGAGGTGGAGGTTGCAGTGAGCCAAGATCACACCACTACACTCCAGCCTGGGCGACAGAGTGAGACCCTGTCTAAAAAAAGAAAGAAAAGAAAAAAAAAAAGAAAAGTGTAAATCTAAATTTCCCTAGGTTGGCATGTAAAAGGTGTCTCTAAATTAGAATGTAAGTAGGGCCTTCCTATTATAGAAGATTTAAAAGATTTTCCAGCGAGTTAATCATTTATACTCTTTTTTATTTCCCAATTATTTTAGTAACACTGCACATCACTGTAAAGGCTGGAATACGCTGTTAGATTGGGTGGGGGTGTGTGTGTATGTTTTGCTTCCCTTTTCTTCAAGAATCCCTAAAAGTGTGATCAATGAAGAATGTGACCAAACTATAACCTTCCAAACTTATAACAAATCAAGTCAGCTATTCCCTGCCCAATCCACCCAACCAAAGAAAAAAGATTGACAGGTTCCCAGTCCTTCCCTACAGAGTTTGTCACCAATATCACCCCAGCAATCCAAGGGCGAAAACTTCAGCAACACAGGCCCTCTCAAAAGCTTGTTCCATGTGAAAAGCCCTCATTAAACTCTGAGTTATATTTAGAAAAAAAAATGAAACAGAAGTTATATTTAGATGAAATGGCTCAAAAGAATTTTACCAAAAGCAGCATGTTTATACTGATCTTCCAAAAGAAAAGGTTTCCTTAGCTTTTACATACAACTCCTAAAAACAGACAACTTCTTCATACATATACATACAAAGATTTCTGCTTGGGTTCCTTTGGGTCTGAAAGAACAGGAGCTCCCAGGATATGAGCAAGACTGCCCATGGGAAGCAGTGGGATATAAAGGACTTAAAAATGAGCACGCGTTTGAGGACCAGGACAATTTCATACACAAGCCTGAGATGAGATGGTCTGAGAAATAATAAAGCAAAGCCTTTCGTGTGCTTGTGCTGAACGAAAGAGGTTCTGTAATTTATAAGATGGACACAAAAACCACAGACTCCCTCAGCAATACTACCTAGAAGTGTTTCTTTCCAAAATGTCATCAGCCCTCACTTCATGGTCACAGTCAAATTACTTTCTATCACATTGTAGCTGGCTTGCTGAACCACATTCAACATTTTCTTTTTGGCTCTTCTTTGTCTTAAACCATTTTTGGCATTCACTTTCTAATGTGTTGACTTACATTTTCTTTCTTTCTTTTTTTTTTTTTTTTTGAGGCAGAGTCTCACTCTGTTGCCCAGACTGGAGTGAAGTGGCACAATCTCAGCTCATTGCAACCTCTGCCTCCCGGGTTTAAGAGATTCTCATGCCTCAGTCTCCAATGTAGCTGGAATTGCAGGTGCTCGCCAGCACGCCTGGCTAATTTTTGTATTTTTAGTACAGATGGGGTTTCACCATGTTGGCCAGGCTGGTCTCGAACTCCCGACCTCAGGTGATCCGCCCGCCTTGGCCTCCCAAAGTGCTGGGATTACAGGCCTAAGCCACCGCACCCAGCCAACTTACATTTTCCTAACAAAATTCTAGGCAACAGCCCCAAAGTAGTTTAGTAAACCGTGAAGCCTTTTCAGAAATGAATGTATAATTTTGAGGTGATTATTTGAAAAATGGTTTGTGGCAGTTATTCCTCTCTTCACAGGGTCCCAGGGCCTCCAGACAAGAAGCAATTGCAGCTCACAGAGACTTGGCCCACATCCCATGCTGAGGGGACCTCTTCTCTAAAGAGCCTCAGGAAAAAGCCACTTCCCAGCATCCCAGCCAAACCAGAGTGGAGGGCAAGGGTGATGGCTCATGGGGAGAGATGGCCAGACTGTAGGATGGGCCAGCCCCCAGTGGTCTCAGCAGGAATTATGCCAGTGGGTGAGGCTGCTGAAGCCTCCTGCCTGCTATTCCTAGGGTTCATTAACACCCTGAAAACAATCCAGACAATTCCCACTTCTGCATCTGGCTTGGTATTTCCAGAGGAAGTGTTAGAGCAGCAGATAACTGGGGTCACCTAATTTTATACTACCTCTAGGCCTTAGAGCAGCAAAGCCTAAAGTGGTGCAGTTTAGAGGCCAAACAATAAAAAAGACCTAAGATGTCAGAGAGATCGGATCATATATCCCAGGCACTTTCCTCCCTCCTCCCTCCCCACTCGTATCTATCCACATTCATTTTACCAGGCTGGGAAACCAACAGAGGGCCACTTTGTCTGTACCTACCATTTGCCTACAGTGACAATTATCTTAATTATATTAATAGAATCGTTCAGCAGAAAACCATCATCTCCACCCTATAGTCCAGACAACCAAGTGCTTAAGTGTTTCCTCACTTGCTTTACTTACTGGCAGCAAACGAACAGGGTCAAATTAGGTTTAACTGTGCTGACCTAAGGGCAGGACACTTCCCCAGTATATCCGTGAACTAACACAGCGAAAGGCACACAGAGACACAGAAACACTGGGAACTGAACTAACTTCTGTAAGGGCAAGTCACCAGGGAGACAAGATGTAGGTATGGGGGTGGGATGGGACATACTAAGTCCCCAAGAAAGTACATGTCCTAGGAGGCTTGAAAGGAGGCTGGTGCCTGGGCCAGGGCAGGGAACAACTGCAGAGATGAACAAGGACAGTCAGAGAGGCATGCAGAGACGAAAGGTTGGCTGCCTCAAGGAGGGGCTCCAAAATCCCACACGGGCCTGGATTTAGTAATCAGGAATCTCCAGGATCAGCAAGAATCAGCCTTTGGAAGTTCTTAGGCGAAAGAACACATAATGTGATAGAAGGAAGGAAGGAGGGGACACTAACAAAAATCTGTCTCACTTGGACTGTCAGAGAGAGCAGACAGCAGAGCCTGGATGAATCAAAATGCCCTAAAGAGAAATGGGTGCATGGAGAAATAGCCTTGAGGGAGCCATAGTCATATTTGATGGTGAAATAGTCATTTCTGGTGACTTTAACTGCATCAGGACTTGGCTGAGGGCTGATGCACAGATGCTAGTGCCTCCCAGACCCCTCTCTCTAGATATCCTAATAGTAAATGGAAACCTGAGACTTTAGCGGCATTAACTCTCCCCCATACGCAAAGTTACACGAATCCCAACAAAACTTGCAGAACTAAGCTACATGTGTGGGCACTGGTGGGAATCACTGAAAACCTAAATAAGACCGCAGCAGCTCGTTGATCCCCCCCCCCCTTTGATTGGCACGCACCTCTTTTCTTTTAATGAGAAAAAGCAACAGCCATAGACCCACATCCAGTTTTCACTGCAAAACTGACACTTACATTCAGGACTTCCTGGGGTGCTCCAGGCCAGCAGGGCCAAAGCTGCAAGACCTCCCTCCCTCTCGGGGCAAAACTGTGAGGTCTGTGTAGTCCCACTCCCCATTCCCCTCTCTCTCAGTCAGAGTCTCTTCCACCGCCCCCCGTCAATCCCCCTCCAACCCATCTGGTGATGGTAGCGCCCCCGCTGAACCAAATGTGGAGGACTTGGCTCTCCACCGACCGCTGTACAATGACAGCAGGAATGGCCATTCAGCACCTAGCCTTTCTCTAGCACCCTTTAATTATCGTCGTTATTTTAGGGCAGTCTTAGCATAAAGTGTGTTGCTGGGACCCTGCTCCTAAGAGGCTAACACTCCCTGCCCCCTTACCCACCGTCGACAGCGAAGTGGCAGGCAATGGGAATCTGGGCGGGAAGCAAAGAACTACTACGATTCACATCGCGCCCAAGCAGCAGCACGCGGGAACCTGGCACACAGTAGGTAGGCGTTCACCCAACATCTGTCATCGGACCCAGCACCTGGGCAGGGAGCCTAGGGGTGGAGTGGCGGCTTGGGGGACACAAAGGCCTCGCCAGCCCCCAGCTGCGCCCCTCGCAACGCGGGGGGCGGGAGTTTAGAGCCAGAGAGAGGGGGCGAAGGAATCCGCCCTCATTTGCACGTCGTCTGGGGCCCGGTCAATTTGCTTAATCACCGCTCTAAATGCCAGCGGGCAGCACACAATACGCGCCCATTAACAGGTTTAAAGTGTCGCAGCGCTCGCTTTAAATGAGAAAAGCAGGCGACAAAAGGGGGAAAAAGCCAAGTTCCTCAACTTGAAGAATGCCTTGGGTCGCCTCGAAATCATCTACGCGAGTTTAAAATTCGGAGCTAGCTCCGCAGAAAAGCTGAGGCCCCGGTGCGAGGGCTGGGGGTGGGAACGGGGGCTGTGAATAACCCGCCACGAAAACTGGGTTTCTTAGGAACCAGCCTGCAGCCGCCCAGTGAACCCGGAGTCGGAGGACAACGTCGCCAACCCAGCTCCCTAGGCCCCTTGCCCCACTGCCAGAGAAAGCTGACCGATTTCCAAGAAGGAAAGCGAGACCCCCCCAAAGCGGGCACAAATCCAAGTTTCCTTCGGTGCAGGCGAAGAATTCTGGAGGCCAAGGAAGATCCCAGAGGTGGACTCCAAAACCTCAACCCGCAAGAGGGGAAAAGTTAAAGTAACTTTACTTTCATCCAGGCACTGGCCAGCGCAGCCTCGCGCTCGGCCGCCAGAGAGTAGTTCAACTCCGCAAACAAGTTCTGCTTGGGATCGGCGCAGAAGGCCCCATCCCCCACTCCATGGCCAAGCCCGGGGGCGCATCCTGCGGGCCGCGGCCTCCCACCCTCCCCGGCGCGCCCGACGGGCACTCACGGTGCGCGCTCCTCCGGGAGACAGGGGTCCGTTGGAGAGGTACGGGCTGCTCAGGTCCGGGATCATCAGGAAGGGGTACCCAGGGTACGGGGGTCCTTTAAAGAACGCGCTGTCCTGAGGCCTTCTCACTGCGAACAAGACCAAGGCGAGGTGAGGCCCAGGCCCCCGGGACTGACAGCGCCGCGGCAGGGGGCTCGAGGCGGGAGCTGGGGACCCCAGCGCCCCCCACGCGCGCCCCACGGGGGCTGCCGCCAATAAAGGCGGAGGGCAAGGGTGCGTCCACCCAAGCAAGGGGGACGGTGGGCCGCCCGGGCTGAGCAGCGGAGCGCAGCGGGAATCGAGAGTGGGGGGCTGTCCCAGCGGGCACATACCTTCGGCGAAATAGTCCCGCGGCTTCTGGAAAGTGTCCCGGACGGGCTGCGGGCGCCTCTCCGCCTGCGGAGGAGACACAAAGGCAAGAGCGGGTGAGCGGACGCAGGGCCGGGATCCCCCGGGGGTGGCCGCGGTGCTTCCTTACCTCCGAGTCCGAGCTGCTGCTCTGGTTCTCCGACTCGTTGACCAGGGACGACTTGACCTCGTCTAGGTCCCGCTGCGCCGAGGCGCTATCGCTGCTCGGCTCCTGCTCCTCGCCCCCCTCGTCCTGGAAGGGGATCAGCTCGTCGTTCGCCCCGAGGTCGTCCCCTCCGCCGGCCGCCCCGGCGCTGGAGCCGCCGCCTCCCCCGCTGCCGCCGCCGCCGCCGCCGCCCCCGCCGCCGAGCTGGGGCATGGTGGGGCCGCGGGCCGGGGCCGCCGCTCTCGGAGCCCCTAGCCGCCCGCGCCCTGCCCGGCCCGGCCCGGCGCCCCTCCCGCCCGCTTGCGGGCCCGCTGCGCTAGCCGCCGCAACAAAGTTTGACAGGGCGTGGCCCCGCGGGAAGCGGGCCCGGCGCTGCCCGGCCGGGGCGCAGGCGGCTCGGCTCGGGCCCCTCCGGCAGCGCCGAGCCTAGGGCTCCCCAACTCGCCACCGCCGCCGCCTGCTCCGCCGGGGCGTCCCAGCCCCTGGCCCGCCGGGGAGGGGCGAGCGGGGAGGGAGGGAGGAGGGACCGCCGGGCTGGGCAGGGGGGCCGGAGGGAGGAGCCCCGGCTGCAAGCTGACACCCGCGCGCCTCGCGGAACCCGGAGAGCTGCGGTGCGCGCGCACACACACACATACACACGCACTCACACTCACACGTTCACACTCGCATCTTCCAGGGGCTGCGTCTCCCTGCAACGTGCACCGCCCCCAACCCCCTCCTGCGCCTCACACTGCACCCTCGGCGGCCCTCCCCACGGCCTCCCTGGAGTCCTGGAAGTCTTGCGCCCACCCCTCCGCATCCCCTAACTTTCTCCCAAAGAACCTCCAGAACTCCGCGCAGGTTCCCACCCCCTCCCACCGTATCGGCGCGCGGGCGGGCGGCACTGCCCCCTGCGGGAAAGCCTCGGACGCACATACTGGCCGCGGGGCCCTCCCCCTGCCTAGAGTCCCTCCGAGTGCGCGAGCTGATGCACGGACTAGGACACTGGGGACATCTATGGAACCCCGGAAAATGCCCGGCGGCTTTCCGCGCCTTTTTCCTGTGGGGTTCCAACGCGACCCCCGGCCCAGGTTTTCAACCTTGTACAGATATACAGATTTCCCTGCTGAAATCTTGAAGATCACCTTTTCTTCATTGTTTGGGACTAGGTCCTAAATCGAAAAATCGCGGTCTTGGGTTCCAAAAGAATTTGGATTTGGTTCATTGAGAGGGAAAATTGCCTGTCCAGTGATCTCCGAAGCCATTCACAAAGCTGCGTGAGTAGCCAGTGAACACGAGAAAAATGCTCAACCAGCCTCATACCTAAGTAATGCCTGTGGTGCGAGCGCCACGGCCCGCGCCTGGAGTTCCATCTACTCCCGAGGCCTAGGCAGGAGGATCGCTGGAGCCCAGGAGTTTGAGACCAGCCTGGGCAACATAGCAAGACCTTGTCTCCAAAAAAAAAATTTTTTTAATAAAGAAATGCCTGTTACAATGACATTAAGATGTCGTTTCTCTCCAACCTGTGCGGGAAAGTTTGAGGAAAATGAATATCTTGTGTTATCCTCCGTGGGGAACTATTAGAGCATAAACTTTGAAAACAGCTTGGAAGGCAGTATGGAACTATGTAAAACTATTTTCAGCCCAACTGGCAGAAGAGTTTCTACAGAGGTGCCCGCACATATGGGCAAAGCCACATATGCTAGGTTCAAAGCATCAGAGAGCTTGGTGACATGCATTCTTCATCTTTCTTTACAGTGACAGTCCATGCAGCTGGCCAGTTCTATGCAGTGTCCCCGCCCCTCCCCCCACCCATACACACACACACACACACACACACACACACACACACACACACACACACAGGCACATGGACCAAGATTGATTTTGGAGGAACATCTTTAAATGAAACACTATATATGACACTCACTATTTTATTTTTGTTTTTAAAAAAATTATACACATTTATTTCTGCGTAGAAAAAAATCTGAGAAGATGCAAATTATTATCAATGACTATTTCTGGGAAAGGATAAGTGAAAGGAGATAGTTTTCTGGTTTCTATGAACTTTATAACAAGCAGATATGCCTTTTCTAATTTTTTACACAATACATGAGTACAGTCTCATAAAGCGTTTTCAAATAACAGATGTATCTTGAGCAGTATCGAGTAACAAGTAAAAGTTCCTCTTTCCCCCTCAGGACACAGGACCCTTCTAATTAACCACTTTCAGTTAACTGCCTCTGGTTAACCACTGTCACTAGTTTGGTATATATCCTTCCAGACACTTTCCTAGGCAGTTATGAACATATGTAAACGTATTTACAGATATTCTGATGTACATACATAGAATCATACTCTTTGTATTATTGTGTGTTATTTTATTTTTATAAGATTTAAAAGTCAGACGATTTTTCATGTTTATGGTCCATAAATATATGAAAAACCTATTGTACTAGTTTTCTGCTGCTACTGTCACAAATCACGAAAACTTGGTGGCTTAAAACAACAGAAGTTTATCCTCTCATAGTTGTGGAAGACAGAAGTCCACTGTCAGTTTCACTGAGTAGAAATGGAGGTGTTGACGGGGCCATGCTCCCTCTGGAGGCTCCGAAAAGAATCTACCCTTGTCTCTTGCAGCTTCTGGGGGCTTGTGACCACATCACTCCCACCCTTGCGTCTGTAATCACATTGCCTTCTCCTTTTTTTGTCTGTGACAAATTTTCCTCTGCCCCCTTCTTGTAAGAAACCATACTTGTGGCCGGGCACAGTGGCTCACGCCTGTAATCCCAGCTCTTTGGGAAACCAAGGCAGGTGGATCACGAGGTCAGGAGTTCCAGACCAGCCTGGCCAACATGGTGAAACCCTGTCTCTACCAAAAATACAAAAAATTGGCCAGGTGTGGTGGCAGGCGCCTGTAATCCCCGCTACTTGGGAGGCTGAGGCAGGAGAATCGCTTGAATTTGGAGGGAGGAGGTTGCAGTGAGCTGAGATGGCACCACTGCACTCCGGCCTTGGCGACAGAGTGAGACTCTGTCTCAAAAAAAAAAAAAAAAAAAAAAAAGTGATACTTGTGATAGCATTTAAGGACCACCTGGATAACCTGTCCATGTCAAAATCCTTAACTTCATATCTGCAAAGACCTCTTTTCCTTAAACATTCACAGTTTCCAGGGATTAGGTCATAGATGCAGCTTTGGGAGTAAGCCATTATCAGCCTGCCACACCTATAAACCAGAAATGCAAACGGAAACAGCATTGAGATAACCAGTTTTCATCTGTCAGATTGGCAAAGGAAGAAAAGAATGGTAACACCCAGCATTGGCCCCTATACTAAGAAGCACATAGATGCTGGGCCATTGTGTAACAGTTCTAAAGAGAAGTTTGGTAATACCTGTGAAATACCTTTAAAAGTGTGAACCCTTTGACTTATCCACGTACTTCTAGGATTTTATCTGAAGGAAACAACTAGGTACAAAAATAAACCTGTAGAAGTGTGTTCATCACAGTGAAAAAATCTAGAAACAATTTCAATGTCCCCTATAGGGAATTATTAAGTTAAATCATGGTGCATTCATCTAATGGAATGTTATGACATTGTGGAGATATATTTGTCAATATAGAAGGAGGCTCATAATGGTAAGCAAAAGTAGCAAATTAAAATTAACATGTAGACTTCCACTTCCCATTCTAATGGGGTATTGATGTCAGATTGACTCCTTCATCAAGAACAACTAACTATAAACTGGATAAAATACCAAAATAAAACAACAAAACCCAGCTGAGTTGAAGGCATCACTGTCAACCAAGTCAGCCAGGACGTGAGGAGTCAAAATACCAGAAGGGAAATTCATTCAAGCGAGTTTGTATTCACTGCTGTTTCATCCCCTCAGAGAATTTGGTGATTTGTAGCACCAGGCATAGAGGCCAAACCAAAAACAACCATCTAGAGCAGCATACTACAGCTTGCTGCCTGTTTTTGAATGGTCTCAGCTAAGACTTTTTTTTTTTACTTTTTTTTTTTTTTTTTTGAGACGGAGTTTCACTCTTGTTGCCCAGACTGGAGTGCAATGGTGCCATCTCGGCTCACTGCAACCTCCACCTCCCGAGTTCAAGCAATTTTCCTGCTTCAGCCTCCTGAGTAGCTGGGAATGTAGGCATGCACCACCACGCCCGGCTAATTTTGTATTTTTAGTAGAGACGGGGTTTCTCCATGTTGACCAGGCTGGTCTCGAATTCCTGACCTCAGGTGATCCGCCCAAGTGCTGGTTTTACAGGTGTGAGCCACGTCGCCCGGCCGCTTTTTTTACATTTTTAAGTGGTTGAAAAAGATCATAAGGGCCAGGCGCAGTGGCTCACGGCTGTAATCCCAGCACTTTGGGAGGCCGAGGCGGGTGGATCACCTGAGGTCAGAAATTCAAGACCATCCTGGTCAACACGGTGAAACCCCGTCTCTACTAAAAATACAAAAAATTAGCCGGTCGTGGTGGCGGGCGCCTGTAATCCCAGCTACTCAGGAGGCTGAGGCAGGAGAATGGCGTGAACCCGGGAGACGGAGCTTGCAGTGAGCCGAGATCGTGCCACTGCACTCCAGCCTGGGCGACAGAGCGAGACTCCGTTTCAAAAAAAAAAAAAAAAAAAAAATTAGCCAGGCGTGGTAGCAGATGCCTGTAACCCGGGAGGCGGAGGTTGCAGTGAGCCGAGATCGCGCCGTTGCGCTCCAGCCTGGGCAACAAGAGCGAAATTTTGTCCCAAAAAATAAAAATAAAAATAAGGATAATATTTATGACACATGAAAATTATATGAAATTCAAATATCAGTGTTGATAAAGTTTTATTGGAACATAGCCATACTCCTTAGCCTATACATTGCCAATGGCTGCTTTCACAAAACAATGATGGAGTTTAGGACATGTATTGCTTAATGATAGGGATACATTCTGAGAAATAGGCAATTTCATTGCTCTGTGAACATATGGAGTATACACAAACCTAGGTGGTATAGCCTACTACACACCTAGAGTATATGGTATAGCCTGTTTCTCCTAGGTTACAAACCTGTTCACCATGTTACTGTACTGAATACTGCAGGTAACTGTAATACATTGGTACGTGTGTATCCAAACATATGTAAAGATAGAAAAGGCACAGTAAAAATATAGTATTACAATTTTATGGGACCCTATCATGTATGTGATCCCTCATTGACCAAAACTTTGTTATATGGTGCCTGACTGTAGTTGCAACAGGGACAGTATATGCTCTTATCACTTCATACTGCTGCTCAGTACACCACAAATCACGGTGATACAGTGTTTTCAGTGCCATGCATATCTCTGTACTGCGACATTTATTTTAAATTTTTATTACCAGGGCATATCCATTATGTCAAAACAAGAAAAGAAAAGTAGATGTATTCATCCGTTGCCACACTACTATAAAGAAGTACCTGAGACTGGGTAATTTATGAAGAAAAGAGGTTTAATTGACTCACAGTTCCACAGGCTTAACAGGAAGCATGACTGGAAAGCCTCAGGAAACTTACAGTCATGGCAGAAGGTGAAGGGGAAGCAAGCGACTTCTTCACATGGTGGCAGGAGAGAGAGACAGAGAGGAAGCGCTACACATTTTCAAACAACCAGATCTCGTAAGAACTCTACCATGAGAACAGCAAGAAAGAAGGTCCCCCTGCCCCGTGATTCAGTCACCTCCACGAGGCCCCTCCTTCAACTCATGGGGATTACAATGCAACATGAGATTTGGATGGAGACACAGAGCCAAACCATATCAGTAGACTATGAATTTTGTGCTTTGAAGGCACAGTGAAGTATGGATTATTTTATTAGCAAATTAGGTGACAAAGCGTTGTGTTTAGTATGCAACAACAGCAGTTATGCTAAGAGAACATATGTCAACATCACGAGAGTAAGCACTCATCAACAATTTTCCCAACTGAGAGGAAAGGAATGACCAGAAAAATTTAAAAATTGAAATCAAGCGGGGCGCGGTGGCTCACGCCTGTAATCCCAGCACTTTGGGAGGCTGAGGCAGGTGGATTGCCTGAGGTCAGGAGTTCGAGACCAGCCTGGCCAAGATAGTGAAACCCTGTCTCTACTAAAAATACAAAAAATTAGCTGGGCATGGTGGCGGGCACCTGTAATCCCAGCTACTAGGGAGGCTGAGGCAGGAGAATCGCTTGAACCCAGGAGGCGGAGGTTGCAGTGAGCCAAGATCACACCATTGTACTCCACCCTAGGCAACAAGAGCGAAACTCCATCTCAAAAAAAAATTGAAATCAGAATATCTAATCACAGCAAAATTTCTTCACAAAGTAAGTGTCCTAGAGGCTCATTTGTTAGTAAAGCAAGGAGAGCTATTAACTGATGGTGACTTAATTAAATTGTACTCAAGAGCAGTAGCCACAGAAATATGTCCAGAGAAAATAAACTTGCCTTTCACCATTGCTAAAAGAGTTTAGGACATTGAAAATAACATCAATAGTCAATGGGGATTGGGTGCAGTGGCTCACCTGTAATCCCAGCACTTTGGGAGGCCGAGGCAGGCAGATCACCTGAGGTCAGGAGTTTGAGACCAGCCTGGCCAACATGGCAAAACCTTATCTCTACTAAAAATACAAAAATTAGCCGGATGTGGTGGCGCACACTTGCAATCTGAACTACTCAGGAGGCTGAGGCAGGATAACTGCTTGAACCCGGAAGGTGGAGGTTGCAGTGAGCTGAGATTGTGCCACTGCACTCCAGCCTGGGCGACAGAGCGAGACTCCATCTCAAAAATAAATAAAATAAAATAAAATACATGACAACAATAGGACAAAAGGCAGAGGGGGGATATGGCATTGAACCAAACTAAGGTTGTCTGAGAAGTCGTGAAAGTAGGAATTTAAAGTACACTCTAGTAGGCCAGGCGTGGTGGCCCATGCCTGTAA
Source organism: Homo sapiens (assembly GCF_000001405.40). NCBI lineage: Eukaryota > Metazoa > Chordata > Mammalia > Primates > Hominidae > Homo > Homo sapiens. Next base: position 53,159 of record NW_025791763.1, on the reverse strand, counting down.
TCCCAGCACTTTGGAAGGCTGAGGGTGGTGGATCACTTGAGGTCAGGAGTTTGAGACCAGCCTGGCCAACATGTCGAAACCCCGTATCTACTAAAAATACAAAAATTAACTGGGCATGGTGGCGCACACCTGTAATCTCAGTTGCTAGGAGGGCTGGAGCAGGAGAATTGCTTGAACCCAGAAGGCAGAGGTTGCAGTGAGCCGAGATTGTGTCACTGCACTCCAGCCTGGGAGAGAGAACAAGACTCTGTCTCAATAAATAAATAAATAAATAAGGTGCACTCTAGTAAGTCAAGAATGCATGTGTTCATCCCTAGAATAACACTCACTGAATAATTAAAGAATGTATAACTGGCTGGGTGTGGTGGCTCACACGTGTAATCCCAGCACTTTGGGTGGCCTAGGCAGGTGGTCAGAAGTTCGAGACCAGCCTGATCAACACGGTGAAACCCCTTCTCTATTAAAAATACAAAAATTAGCCAGGCATGGTGGCACACACCTGTGGTCCCAGCTATCTGGGAGGCTGAGGTAGGAGAATCACTTGAACCCAGGAGGCAGAGGTTGCAGTGAGCCGAGATTGTGCCACTGCATTCCAGCCTGGGTGACAGAGGGAGGCTTTGTCTCAAAAAAAAAAAAAAAAAGAAAAGAATATTACTAACAAACTAATGAGCAAGAAAGAAGAAAGGAGACAAAAATTAAAGAACAAATGAGACAAATAAAAATATATTAAAATGATACAGTCAAAATTTCAGTAATTATTTTAAATGTATATGATCTAAACACTCCAAATTTAAAGACAAGATTTTTAGAGTATATTTTTAAAAAGCAGCTATCTGCTGCTTACAAAAGCTACACCCTTGAGGTGATGACAAATCAGGTTGAAAGTAAAAAGAGGGAGAAGGATAAACATAAAAAATGCTAACCTAAAGAAAGCTGATTAGCTGGGCACGGTGGCTCATGCCTGTAATCCTAGCACTTTGGGAGGTTAAGGCGGGCAGATCACGAGGTCAAGAGATCGAGACCCTCCTGGCCAATATGGTGAAACCCTGTCTCTACTAAAAATACAAAAATTAGCTGGGTGTGTTGGCATGCGCCTGTAGTCCCAGCTACTCGGGAGGCGGAGGCAGGAGAATCACTTGAACTCAGGAGGCAGAGGTTGCAGTGAGACAAGATCGTGCCACTGCACTCCAGCCTGGCGACAGAGTGAGACATCGTCTCAAAAATAAATAAATAAATAAAAGAAAGCAAGCTGATTAGGCCGAGTGCAGTGGCTCCCGCCTGTAATCCCAGCACTTTAGGAGGCTGAGGCAGGTGGATCATTTGAGGCCAGGAGTTCAAGACCAGCCTAGCCAAGATGGTGAAACCTCATCTCTACTAAAAAAATTAAAATTAGGTGGGCATGGTGATACATGCCTGTAATCCCAGCTACTCAGGAGGCTGAAGCAGGAGAATTGCTTGAAACCATTAGGCAGCAAGATTCCGCCATTGCATTCCAGATTTCAGCCTGGGCAACAGAGTAAGACTCCGGGGATAGCGTGGGGGAAGAAAGCTGATTTATCTATACTAATGTTAGATGAAGTAGGCTTTAAAACAAAAATATTAGTAGAAATAAGTGGGACATTTCATCATGATAAAAGGGGAAGATAAAAATAACTCAAAATTTTCATTTACCTAATAACATAGTTTCAAAAATATGCGTAAAAACAGAACGAAAAGGAGAAGTAGACAAAACTACAATCATAGCTGGCAATTTTAATATAACTCTTTCTGTAACTGACCAAACAAGCCACAAAAAATCAACAAAAATATAGAAGACTTGAACAATGCAATTAACAAACTTGACGTATATAGAAAACATTGCAACAACAACTGCAGAATCCATATGCTTTTTTTTTTTTTAATTGAGATGGAGTCTCACTCTGTCACCCAGGCTGGAGGGCAGTGGTGTGATCTCAGCTCACTGCAACCTCCGCCGCCCCGGTTCAAGCAATTCCTCAGCCTCCCGAGTAGCTGGGATTACAGGTGCGTGCCACCACGCCCAGCTAATTTTTGTATTTTTAGTAGAGACAAGGTTTCACCATGTTTGCCAGGCTGGTCTCGAACTCCTGGCCTCAAGTGATCCACGCACCTCGGCCTCCCAAAGTGCTGGGATTACAGGTGTGAGCCACTGCGCCCCGCCTCTATATGCTTTTTAAGTGCACATGCAAATTTCAAAGAATGGCCATGCAGAGTATGTTTTTTGACCACAGTGGAGATAAACTAAAAAGCAATTTTAAGGCCGGGCGTGGTGGCTCATGCCTGTAATCCCCGCACTTTGGGAGGCCGAGGCGGGCGGATCACGAGGTCAGGAGATCGAGACCATCCTGGCCTAACATGGTGAAAACCTGTCTCTACTAAAAAATACAAAAAATTAGCCTGGTGTGGTGGCGGGTGCCTGTAGTCCCAGCTACTCGGGAGACTGAGGCAGGAGAATGGCGTGAATCTGGGAGGCGGGGCTTGCAGTGAGCCGAGATCATGCCACTACACTCCAGCCTGGGAGACAGAGCAAAGACTCCATCTCAAAAAAAGCAATTTTAAAAGAAAATAGGCAATTTGAATATCCGAAAAATTTGGAAATTATGCAAATATATTCCATTTTATTTATTTAAAATAAAATATATATATATATTTTATTTTTGGGGACGGTGTCTCACTCTGTCGCCAAGCTGGAGTGCAGTGGCGTGATCTTGGCTCACTGCAACCTCCACCTCCTGGGTTCAAGTGATTCCCCTGCCTCAGCCTCCCAAGTAGCTGGGACTATAGGCACGTGCCACCACACCCGGCTAATTTTTGTATTTTTAGTAGAGACAGGGTTTCACCGTGTTGGTCAGGATGGTCTCAATCTCCTGACCTCGTGATCCGCCCGACTCGGCCTCCCAAAGTACTGGGATTACAGGCGTGAGCCATCGCGCCCGGCCCTATTTTAAAATTTAATTTAATTTAATTTTTTGAGACAGACTCTCTGTTGCCCAGGCAGGAGCGCAGCGGCACGATCTCGGCTCACTACAACCTCCGCTTCCCAGGTTAAAGCGATTCTCTTGCCTCAGCCTCCCGAGTAGCTGGGATTACAGGCATGTGCCACCACGCCTGGCTAATTTTTGTATATATACATTTTTTTAGTACAGACGGGGTTTGGCCATGTTAGTCAGGCTGGTTTGGAACTCCAGGCCTTAAGTGATCCGCCTACCTCGGCCTCCCAAAGTGCTGAGATTACAGGTGTGAGCCACTGCCTGTATATATACTTATTAAGTGCACATGCAAATTTCAAAGAATTGCCATGCAGAGTATGTTTTTTGACCACAATGAAGATAAGCTAATAAGCAATTTTAAAAGAAAACAAAAAATTTGAATATCCCTACAATTTTGGAAATTATGCAAATATATTCCATTTTATTTATTTAAAAATAAAATATATTTTTAAAGAGAAAAGGTATAGTACCATAATGAAAGGGGACCATAAAACACAAAATATATCAATACTTAAGTAGTAAAAGGATATTATGAACAACTATGCTAATAAATTTGAAAATTTATACGAATGAACAAATTCCTTAAAAAACTTGACCTCGACTCACATAAGAACTGAAAAATCTGAATAGGTCTATTATTGTTAAATAAGTGGAATGTGGCAAGGTGCCGTGGCTTACACCTGTATTCCTAAGAGTTTGAGAGGCTGAGGTGGGAGGACTCCTTGAGGCCAGAAGTTTGGAAGCAGTCTGTGCAGATTGGGAGACCCCACCTCTACAGAAAATTTAAAAATTAGCCAGATGTGTTGGTGAGCACCTCTAGTCCCAGCTACTTGTTGGGGGCTGAGAGGGGAGCATCACTTGAGCCTAGGCGGCTGAGGCTTCAGTGAGCTGTGATTGTGCCACCGTCCTACAGCCTAGGCAACAGAGAGACCCTGTCTGGAAAAAAAAAAAAAAAGAAATCCATAATTTAAAATTTTCCTACAATATAATTGTACACCCAGATGGCTTCGTTGATTAATTCTTCTAAACTTTCAAAGAAACAAATAACACAATCTGTTATGGGTTGAATTGTGTCCCTTCCAAAAATGGATATGTTGAAGTCTTAACCCCCAGTATCTCAGAATTCCAAATGTGAGTACATTTGGAGATAGGGCATTGCAGATGCTATTCATTAAAATGAGGTCACGCTGGAGCGCCTAAACCAATATGACTTGAGTCCTTATAAGAAGACAACCATGCGAAGACAGAATGCCAGGTGAAGATGGAGGCCATGTATCTGTGAGCCAGGAAACACTGAGGATTGGCTTCACCGGAAGCCACAAGAGAGGCATGGAGCAGATCCTCCCTCAGAGCCTTCACAGAAGGAACCAACGCTACTGCTCCTTGATTTTGGACTTCCAACCTCCACAACTATGAGGGAATATATTTCTGTTGTTTTAAGCAGCCCAATTTGCAGTACTTTGTTACAACAGCCTAGGGATACTAATACACAATTTTATAGAAACTCTTCCAGAGAAGAGAAAAAGCAGAAATACTCATTTTGTAAGTTCAACATAATCTTGATACAACAACTAAAAAATATAAGAAAAGAAAATTACAAGCCAGTCTTTCTCATTACCATATATGCAAATATACAAAATAAAAAAAATTTTTTTTTGAGACAGAGACTCACTCTGTCACCCAGGCTGGAGTGTCACTCTGTCACCCAGGCTGGAGTGCAGTGGTGCGATCTCAGCTCACTACAACCTCTACCTCCCAGGTTCAAGCCATTCTCATGCCTCAGTCACCCAAGTAGCTGGGATTACAGGCGTGCACCACCACACCCAGCTAATTTTTTTGTATTTAGTAGAGACAGGTTTTCACCATGTTGGCCAGGCTGGTCTTGAACTCCCAGCCTAAAGTGATCTGATTGCCTCGGCCCCTCAAAGTGCTGAGATCATAGGCATGAGGCACTGTGCCCGGTCAAAATAATATATTATTATACTGGATTCAGCTATATATAAAAAATGAATAGAGCTGAGTGCAGTGTCTCAGGCCTGTAATCCCAGTTACTCAGAAGGTCAAGGCTTGAGGCCAGGTGTTCAAGACCAGCTTGGGTGACATAGGGAGATCCCAGCTCTAAATAAATTAATTAAATAAAAATTTTAAATATAAATAAAAAGAATAGTAAGTCATGATAAATTGGATTTATTCCAAGACTGACAATTCATTTATCATTCAAAAATATAATCAATATAATTTACCACAATTATAGAATAAAGGAGAAAAACTATATGATCACTTCAATAGATACTATTATTTTATATAATTCAGTATCTATGTATAGTTTTTTAAAAATAAAAGCTCTTGGCAAACTAGAAATATCAGGAATTTCTGTAATAAGGTAAAGGTTGTCAATCAAAAAAATACAGTAAATATGCTTGATGGAATATTGAAAACTTTCCCTTTCAGATTGGGAATAAGAAAAGGATGCTTGCTAACATCACTTCTATTCAGATTTATGATAGGAGCTCTTAGACAATACAACAAGGCAAGCAAAATAATGAAAAAGGGCTGGGTGCGGTGGCTTACGCCTGTAATCCTAGCACTTTGGGAGGGTGAGATGGGCGGATAACTTGAGGTCAGGAGTTCGAGACCAGCCTGACCAACATGGTGAAACCCCATTTCTACTAAAAATACAAAAATTAGCCGGGTGTTGTGGTGCACACCTGTAATCCTAGCTACTCAGGAGGCTGAGGCAGGAGAATTGCTCGAACCCGGGAGCTGGAGGTTGTAGTTAGCTAAGATTGCACCACTGCACTCCAGCCTGGGCAACAGAGTGACTCCATCTCAAAAAATAAAATAATAATAAAAAAAAAAAGAGGCTGGGTGCGGTGGCTCACACTTGTAATCCCAGCACTTTGGGAGGCCAAGCGGGGAGGATCACCTGAGGTCAGGAGTTCAGCCTGGCTAACATGACGAAACCCCGTCTCTACTAAAAATACAAAAATTAGTGGGGCATGGTGACATGCGCTTGTAATCCCAGCTACTCGGGAGGCTGAGGCGAGAGAATTGCTTGAACCCAGGAGGAGGTTGCAGTGAGCTGTTTCACCATTGCACTGCAGCCTGGGTGACAAGAGCGAAACTCTGTCTCAAAAGAATGAAAAGGTATATTATATTAGTTGGAAGGGAAGAAATAAAACTCATTATTTTCAGACAATATGATTTGTATGTAGGAAAATGTAAAAGAATTCATAAACTATTAGAATTAAGTGAATTTAGCAAAATCTCTCTATAGATCAATATAACAAATATCAATTGTATTTCTACATACTAGCAATCAACAATGAGAAAAATCCAATAAATGATATCATTTAGATAGCATCAAAATTTACCAAATCCCAGAAATAATTTCAACAAAAATATGCAAGTCATCTACATAGAAAACTAAAAGTATTACTCATGGGAATTAAAGAAGACTTCAACAGAAAGAAAAGGTAGGAATATTCTGTTTTCATCAACTGGAATATTTAATATTATAAAAATGTTAATTCTATTCAAATTGATGAATAGATTCAATATAAACCCAATTAAAAAACCGTGTGTGTGTGTGTGTGTGTTTGTGTGTATAAACTGACAAGCTGATTCTACAATAGATATGTGTATTAATCATGTTTTTTATTTTCTGTATGTTATTAATCTTTTAGATCCTGGAGGCCTTGCTGACCTGGGAGAGACTGCCCCTCTCAGGGCTAGCTAATTCCTAGAAATAGCAAATGGCTTTCCTGTGAGGGAGCTTTTCAGATGCAAAACAACCAATCCAGAGCCCATACCCTCCAACCTCCTCCTTTGTTGCACTCTCACAGGGCTCTTACTCCTCAATATTCTCCTTCCCTAATCACCCCAGGGCTAGGTACCAGACAGCTCAGGACCACTCCTGCTCCCTGGAGCCTACTGAATTTATTCAAACTAGCCAATGCCAGTCCTTCTTAGCCTGTAACTGCCTCTCCCATACTACCTGTGAAAACCACAAAAAAGGCTCCTACCCATGCTTTCTCCTCATTTCTGCCTCCTAACTGGCCATGGTGCTTCCCCACGTGGCCCTGTATGGTGTGGCATACCCCTTCTTCTTGGGCACGGTGAATAACAAATTATCTTTTCAATGGCAGTTGTTCCTTAATCTGTCAGTCTCACCAAACCTGAATAATAATAAAACCTACATTTTAAAACAATATGGCATGTAGAAGGCTAAAAATAGCATAGATGACTTTGAAGAACAAAACCTGAACACTTACACTAACAGATTTTTTTTTTTTTTTTTTTTTTTTTAGACAGTCTTAAGCTGTCCCCTAGGCTGGAGTGCAGTGATACAATCTCAGCTCACTGCAACCTCTGCCTCCCGGGTTCCACTGATTCTCCTGCCTCAACCTCAACCTCCCCAGTAGCTGGGACTACAGGTGTCCACCACCATACCTGGCTAGTTTTTGTATTTTTAGTAGAGACAGGGTTTCTTTCACCACGTTGGCCAGGCTGGTCTCGAACTCCTGACCTCTAATGATCTACCCACCTCGGTCTCCCAAAGTGCTGGCATTATAAGCATGAGCCACCGCACCCACCCTGCACTAAAAGATTTTAAGACTTGTTAGAAATGTACAGTGCCCCTTCTTGGTGCTAGTCTAGACAATTAGACTAACGGAAAAATCTTGACACAGATCCACACTTACATGATACCTGATTTATGATAAAGTTGTCATGTCAGTGAAAGAGAGAAAGGATGGGATTAGCAACCATCCATATGGAGGGAAAAACCTTGATCTCTAATTCAGGGCATACACAAAAATACAATTCAGATGGATTGTAGATCTACACTTAAAGTAAAACAACAAAGCTCCTAGGACACAATATGGAGAATATCTTCACAACCTTGATGTGAGCAAAGATTTCTTCAATAGGACCCACAAGTACTAACTATAAAGGTAAAGTGAAAACTGGACTATATTAAACTTAAGACTTTTGATCCAGGCATGGTGGCTCACACCTGCCTGTAATCCCAGCACTTTGGAAGGCTGAGGCAGGCAGATCACTTGAGCCCAGGAATTCAAGACAGGCCTGGCCACTATGGCAAGACCCCATTTCTACTAAAGATACAAAATTAGCTGGGTGTGGTGGTGTGTGCCTATAGTCCCAGCTACTCAGGAGGCTGAAGCGAGAGGATCGCTTGAGCCCAGGAGGTTGAGGGTGCAGTGAGCTGTGATTGAGACCCTGCCTCAAAAAAAAAAAAAAAAAAGTAAGAGTTTTGATTTCTTTTTTCTTTCTTTCTTTCTTTCTTTTTTTTTTTGTTTGAGACGGAATCTTGCTCTATCACCCAGGCTGGAGTGCAGTGGTGCGATCTCAGCTCACTGCAACCTCTGCCTCCCGGGTTCAAGTGATTCTCCTGCCTCGGCCTCCTGAGTAGCTGGGATTACAGGCGTGTGCCACCATGTCCGGCTAATTTTTTGCATTTTTTTTTTTTAGTAGAGACGGGGTTTCACTGTGTTGGCTAGGATGGTCTTGATCTCCTGACCTCGTGATCCGCCCGCCTCAGCCTCCCAAAATAAAGAATTTTGATTTCTTAAATAACATCATTATTAGAGTAAAATGGCAAGCCACAGACAAGATGAAAATATTTGCTTTACACATATCTGACCAGAGACTCATTCGGAATATATGAATAACTTACACAAGCCCATAAGGAAAAAACCAGACAACCCAAGAAGAAAATAGACAAGATACTTCACTGGATACTTCATCAAAAAGTATATCCAGATAACCAAGAAGCATATGAAAAGGTAGTCAACGTAATTAATGCCTGACAAATAGTAGATGCACAATAAATACTTGTTGCATAAATAAACTAACAACTTCGTGGCCATTATTATTATTTCCACTCTTCTTTTTTTTTTTTTTTGAGATGGAGTCTCGCTCTGTCACCTGGGCTGGAGTGCAGTGGCGTGATCTCGGCTCACTGCAACCTTCGCCTCCTGGGTTCAAGCGATTCTCCTGCCTCAGCCTCCTGAGTAGCTGGGATTACAGGTGGTGCCACCACACCCGGCTAATTTTTGTATTTTTCGTAGAGACAGGGTTTCACCATGTTGGTCAGGCTGGTCTCGAACTCCTGACCTTGTGGTCTGCCCGCCTTGGCCTCCCAAAGTGCTGGGATTACAGGTAGTGCCACCACACCCAGCTAATTTTTGTATTTTTCGTAGAGACAGGGTTTCACCATGTTGGTCAGGCTGGTCTCGAACTCCTGACCTTGTGGTCTGCCCGCCTTGGCCTCCCAAAGTGCTGGGATTACAGGCGTGAGCCACAGCTCCCAGCTGATTTCCACTCTTCTATAATGCCTCAAAACTTTCTCCAAGACGTAAGTTCATGAATTCAGCAGCTACTGACCTAGTGGTAAGTTTGCCCAGGATATGGTTTGTGCCCTGGGGAATTTGCAGTCTCTCAGGGAGGTAAAACAGAGAGAGCCATGCAATGCCCTGGGATAGCACCAGCTGCCCCTCATTCTTACCTTCTCTGCTCCCATCTGTGCAACTGCAGACCCAGGGAGATCTCACTGTCTCCACCCTTGCTGGCCCAGCTACCCTTTACACCTGACCCCTTGGGCCTATGGATCTCCCTGACTTTCATAGCCTGGAAGAGGGCAACTTCCTGTACTTCTTTCTTCAGTTGAGACCAGATGGGAATTTCCTTAAAATATCTTTTATTAGGAAATCAAGGTAAAGCGATGACAAAAATGCTCAAAAGACAAAAGCATAAAAATGGAATGGTTTATAAAATCTGGACTTTTCACCTCAAAGTCTTGCTGCAATCATGTTTTTTGAAAGGTTAGTTAAATGCTCAGTGACATCAAGTTCTTCAACAGCTGAACTTTTGCTGCCATGATATTTGAGAAGTAAGTCAATGCAATAATATTCCTGTTCTGAGTTTGTAAACTGTAATCAAATTAGAAATTAATAAATATGTGTGTGTGTACACACATAACCTCTAAGATTCTGTCACCTCCTTTACATTTAATAGAGGTTGCAGATAACTATGTAGCAACACAGACAATGCTAAGCAATAAATAGCACAATGGAAAACTATAGGTACCAGATCATTACATTACACATATGGACAAGGTCTTTAAGGAAAATGAAAATGTGTTCATGTCGTGGATGAAGTGGGTGATTTTTCCCCTTTTTTCAAACATCTTTCATTATTTTCTTCATGCTACTCTAGCAATACATAAAAGTCACACAAAGATTTGATAGAGCATGAACATAGTGGAATGCCAATTTGTAAACTGCTCCCAAGTCCAATTTTGTGCTGCTAATTTTAAAGCTAGTGCTATTTTCTAGTAAATAGAATATATGTAGAAGTCTGCATTTCTTTTTGTCGATTTGACCAACATATTTTAGCATCATCTGCAAACTGGCAAATAAAGTATAAGTCATAACAAATGGTTTTTGTTCTAATCTGGGATAATTTCTTGCGGCAATCACTGGTGGTTGTTCTGATACACCAGGAATGGAAGCTGAGGGGGTGGAGAGGGGGTGAGGATTTGTTTTGTTCTTATCTTGACTGCAAAGTCCAAAGCTATTTACTTTTTTGTTCTAGATTTCTTTCGCAGAGCATTAATTACCTGGAGAAATTTTTTCCTAATTGCAGTTTTTTTTTGGAGGGTAATCATTTCTAAAGAAATAAATATTCCTTCCAGGTGGCTCAAAATGTTCCTGGCATGCAACACCAGTTTAATATAACGTGTATATTTTAAGTGTTTTCATATTACTGCATGCCTGTTCATGACAAATCTGCTGTGGTCAGAATGAATTTTTTTAGTTACATCCTTGTGTCTTTTTGCAGATATGGAATTAAATCATTTTATGGGTAGGTTAAGATTTGAACAAGAGTGCATAGCCTACTTATTCCATGAGTTGAAGGATTTTCCCATCTACCAAAAATTGCACTGAATCACCTCAATAAATGTTTATTAAGCATTCTTTGGATTTTAAAAATGGATTGTGCATCGACCTGTCTTTCCTATTGTTGCCAGCATGAAGAACATGGCCAACTGAAAGCTGTGAGGATTTGAGTTTGCATCTGGGTTCTAATCATTACTATGTGACTCTGGACAAGTCAGCTTAGTATTCTGAAGCCTTGGTTTTCTCATCTATGAAACTGGAAAACAGAACCATGAAATGTCTTGTCTGGTCCTGATTATACAGACAAATCAGCTGCTAAGGACATCTGTGGTCCAACAGGGGAAATCTCAACATGGTCTATGTATAGAAAGAGAAGATGACAATTTATAAAAAGTCTTATTATTTAGTATTTTCCTCCAACAAGTCACTTTTCCTTTCTCAGTTTATTATGGACAGTCTGGCCTCTAGCCATTTGGTGTTATTTTTATCGTTCTCATGCTTTATGTTCTTTTTCGCTCTGATTTGAAAGAGGAGATGACACCCAAGTACTTTTCTCTAATCATAGCATAAAAAGTTTTTTAGTATCTTAAAGTGGGACATGCTCTACACACAGACACACACACACACACACACACACACACACACACACAGAATTTTGATAAAGCGAGTTAGTTTTTACTGCTGAGAGCCCTAAGATGAACAAATTCTGATATTTTCTAATCCCATTTCTTATCATCTTTTGGTATTTAAAATATTTTTAATTTATTATTGTTTCTTCAAATTATGAAAGATATATTGGCTATTGGCTATATAGAAAAAAAATCTGAAGCAATATCCACCAAGCAGTGAGCAGCGCTGCTTTCTGGAGATGAGCTCATAGGGGAGACTTTTTCCTTTGACATTGTGGGGGGTGTGTGTGTGTGTGTGTGTCAGGATTGGGCAGATAGAAAATTTGAATTCACAACAATTGCAAGAGAGGACTTAATGGATCTCACAGGGAGCTTTAGTGCTGGAATATTCCTTTAGATTTGCCCCACATTGAGGCAAGGGGGCCAGACCTTTGTATCCCTATATTGATTAGTTGTTGGATATGGACTGCTGCCAGAGTAGGGGCAAAACCTTGGGCAAGGCAGCTCTCTTTTGCCCAGAGCAATTTCTAGAGAAGGATTCGGCTGTGAGCCATTGGCAGAAAATACTCCTGGCAGCTGAAGAAATGAGTAGCTCAATCCTAAAGGGGGAATTCTGTGTGGTATACCACAGCATCCACTACAGCTTATCCCTTGCACCACTTGGATCTGCTTACTTTGTGCATTCAATTCTGGGGACAGCTCCAGGATTCTGAATAATTTTCTTTCCTGGAAAAACTTTGAGAAGAAGGTTATTGGGACAAACTATTGCCTTCACTGCTTCAGCTGGTCTTGAGCCACAGTCTCCTTCCTCTAATACTTACTCTAGTCTAGGAGTCTAGATTTCTTTCATCCTCAGCTAGCACCTTTGCTGGTCCAGATGGCTTATTTGATGGGTGGCCCAGACCGTCATTATTGAGTGGCCATGGCTTTACATGGTCATCATGTCCTTCTTAGACTGTGGCTGCTGTCCTTGTCCATTTACCATAAATATTGGGCAGGGGGTACCAAGAGATTTCTCAGTAAACCACTTGGGTGCAAAATACATTCTTCCCTATCCCTACTGAGTAACAGCAACCCTATCTTCTTCTGATGATAAGGATCACTTAACTACCTGTGACAGTACGGTTACTACTTTCCTTTCTTGATGTCTCTTGGCACAAGGATCCCAAAGTGACTAGGCAATAGCTATAGGAGACTCTTACCATGTCTCCTGGTGGAAGCACTCCACCCCCGCCCGGGAACCAGGATCTCTAGGCCTTAAAATTGAGGGGATGGGAAGCACGAATTTCCCAAGTGGGCCAGTGGGATTGATGGTAATTGGGGCCATTTCTATTGACATTCTTTGGTTTCCAAATTCATGTACTATGTCTCCTGGGGATACAATATCATGTAATAGTCATTGATTTAGGGTGTATATTGCATCCTGGAAGATGATTTCCTATTCTTGTTGAGTGTCATTTCTTTTTTCTTTTTTTTTTGAGATGGAGTCTTGCTCTGTTGCCCAAGCTGGAGTACAGTGGCACGATCTTGGCTTACTGCAACCTCCACCTCCTGGGTTCAAGTGATTCTCCTGCCCAGCCTCCTGAGTAGCTGAGACTACAGGCACCTGCCACCACGCCTGGCTAATTCTTGTATTTTCAGTAGAGATGAGGTTTCGCCATATTGGCCAAGCTGGTCTTGAACTACTGACCTTGTGATCCGCCTGCTTTGGCCTCCCAGTGTGCTGGGATTACAGGCATGAGCCACTGCGCCCAGCCTGAGCCACTGTGCCCAGTCGAGTATCATTTCTAACCTGGTATCTTGTCTACAGTTTCCAAAGGCTATTTCCTCACTTTATTGAGTCCAGAAGCTTCTGAGTGATGTGGTATATGATGGGACTGGTGGATCCCATTGTCATGTGGCCATTGCCACACTCTCTTGCTGTAAGTTGGGTTTCTTGGTCAGAGGCAATGCTATTCAGAATTCCATACCGGTAGATCACTCTGTGAGTTCTCAGAGTGTTGTCCAAGGCCCTGCAGGCAGAAAAGGTAAGACTATATCTAGAACATGTGTTAATTCCAGTCAAGATGAAGCAATTCTCCTTCTAGAGTGGAAAGGGCCTGGTAATCATCTTGGCAGAAAGTGGGTGGTTGGTCTCCTCAAAGAATGATACCGTGCTGGGGACTCAGCATTGGCCTCTGCTGCTGGCAGGTTGGGCACTGCATGGCAAAAGTAATTATACCAGCTTTAGTAAGTAGGAACTCATACTTTTGTGCCATTCATAGCCTCCAACCTTGCCATATGACTACCCCATTTGTGAGGTGATCTGGCCAGAACTGTGGTGAGTGATAACAGAGGGTAGCTAACATCAACTAGTTGAGTCATCCTGTCTATTTGGTTGTCCAGTCAGTCTTTTGTTGGTGGATGCTGTCATGTGGTCAATGAAATGCAGAAAAAGACATTCACATTTTTTTTTTGCCCACTTCTTTGGGTCCATCTCTACCAAGGGTTGGCAACTAAAACTCACAGGGCAAATTCACCCACTGCCTGTTTTATGAATAAAGTTTTATGGGAACACAGCCATGCCACTTATTTATGTGTTGAATATGGCTGCTTTTACACTACAACAGCAGAGCTGTGCAGTTGCAACAGAAACCATATGGCCCTTGAGTCTGAAATAGTTACTCTGACCCTTTATACAAAAAGTTTGCAGATTCTTGATTTACATGCTTCTTTCCAATATTGTCCCCAGTATTCCAATCTTGTTCCTTTCAGGTCCTTGTTCAGTTAAGCCATTTGCCACTGCCTTCACGTCTGTGTATATTTTCATCTTGGGGTACTTCTCTTTCCACATAAAGTAGAAGACCAGATGTACTTCCCAAAGCTCTGACCATGGGAGGATTTTATCTCAACATGCTTTCAGGGGCACCCTGAGTGAGACAGCACTGTATCACCAGTCTGCTTTTGGTTTATATCCACAAATCAAGCTAGTGCGTCCAAGAATCAAGCTTGTCCTTTGCTTCCTCCATCAGTTGGTCATAATACTTTCTATGTGGATGTAAATGGAATCCAGGGAAAGGCATCCATGCAACAGTACTGGATGACAGGATGACATGTGGCTAGTGGCTTACTTTTAGCCTCTGGCTCTACTTGATACCCAATCCTGACACACTACTGCAGTTTTATAATGGGCTGCTGCTGGACCCGCTCAGCATTATGACTTGATGGGTCTGACAGAAACCAGCTCAGGATGGGCAGTTCTAACCACAGGCCACTTGATGTCTCATAGTCAGCTGATTCGTCTCTACCATGACCCAGGAGTATGCCAGGAACTATTTATTGAGTGGCATGTAGCTGTCTGGGGTTTCCCATACATTCCTACAGGTGTTTTTACACCCCAGAAAGCTCTAATATCACAAAGTCTCCTGGGTCACCTGGCCTAAGTGGCAGGGTTGCTTGTAATGCAGCATGAACCAGCTGTAGAGCCTTTCCTTACTCTGGACACCACTCAAAGTTGTCAGCCTTCCATGTGATTCAGTAAATGAGTCAGAGTAGTTTTCCCCAGTATGAAACATACCATCTCCAGAACCCAAAGAGGCTAACGAGTATCATGCTTCCATCTCAGTGGATCCCTAAACATGTCACGGATCTGGTAGGACCCAGAATCTTCCTAAGATTTATCATTTATTGCTCATTCTTTGGAAAATGTGTATCTTACCAAGGCTTCAACTTACTTGCCACTTCTTACTCATGTGGTCGATAAACATCATGTTATTGACAAAATGGACCAATGTGATATTCTTCAGGATGTTCAGATAGTCAAGATCTATTTGGACTATATTATGACAGTTTGCTGGATTTAAAATATGTCCACAAATTCTTTGATGTTCCTCCCTTCAAGAGGTGGAGTCTAATTCCCATCCCCTTGTAGATCACTGGCTCTGGGGAAAGTTGGCTGCCATATTGTGAGGACACTCCAGCAACCAATGGAGAGGTCCGCCTGATGAGGAACTGAGGCTTCCTGCCAACAAGCATATGAATGAGTCAATTGGAAGTGAATTCTCTAGCCCCAATTAAGCCTTCAGATAACCGCAGGACCTGTAGATGTCCTAACTGCAACCACATTAGAAATCCTGAGCCAGAACCATCAAGCTAAGACATTCCTACATTCCTGACCCACAGAAGCTATAAGATAATGAATGCTTATTTCCTGCCCCAAGACTTCTCTGACACAGTGCCATTGATACCAGCAGGAACCCTCTCAGCATTCATATATGGTCAACCCTTATATGTGAGGTATCTTGATCAAAGCTAGCTTTTCATTACCTGGCAAACAGTTCTGAAGCACATTTCATAAGACTCCTCAGATGACTCCACAGAATCAAGCACTGGTTACCTATAACGCCAGCCAATTGGTCAGTGCATCTTGCATTGGCTTTCCCTGTTTCATTCCTCCTTATTTCTCATGCTTGTTCTCTGGGCTCACCTTCCCACATAAACAATATGCAGAAAATTCTTCATCTGTTTTCAGGGGAACTCAACGATAATGTGAAAAGGCACATGACACAATTCAAACCTGATTATATCTATGTAAAACTCCTCAAGAGTTAGCCTCTTATCTTAATTTAAAAATGCTGGCTGGGTGTGGTGGCTCACACCTGTAATCCCAGCACTTTGGGAGGCTAAAGTGGGCAGATCACTTGAGGTCAGGAGTTCAAGACCAGCCTGGCCAACATGGTGAAAATGTCTCTAATAAAAATATAAAAATAAGCTCAGCATGGTGGCATGTGCCTGTAGTCCCAGCTGCTCAGGAGGCTGAGGAAGGAGATTTTGCTTGAACCCAGGAGGCAGAGGCTGCAGTGAGCCAAGATGGTGCCACTGCACTACAGCCTGGCGACAAAGTAAGACTCTGTCTCAAAAAAAATTGCTGAAGTGAGGAATAATGTCTACTATCTCCTCTACAATTGAACATTATGTTGGAAGTATTAGCTAAAGCAAATTATACAAGGGAAATCATATCAGACAAGAGACACAGTAATTGAAAAGAAAGAGGCCGGGCGCGATGGCTCACACCTGTAATCCCAGCACTTTGGGAGGCCGAGGCAGGCGGATCACAAAGTCAGGAGATAGAGACCATCCTGGCTAACACGGTGAAACCCTGTCTCTACTAAAAATAAAAAAAATTAGCTGGGCGTGGTGGTGGGCGCCTGTAGTCCGAGCTACTTAGGAGGCTGAGGCAAGAGAATGGCGTGAACCCGGAAGGCAGAGCTTGCAGTGAGCAGAGATCACGCCACTGCACTCCAGCCTGGGCGACAGACCAAGACTCCGTCTCAAAAAAAAAAAAAAAAAAGAAAAAAGAAAAGAAACAGATAAAGCAATCTCTATTTATAGACAACATAATTGTTTAGTTGGAACACCCAAAAGGATGGAAAGAAAAACTCTCACAAACAATAAGCAAACTAAGTAAAGTAACTGGATATAAAAATCAACATGGGCCGGGCGTGGTGGCTCACGTCTTTAATCCCAGCACTTTGGGAGGCTGAGGCAGGCAGATCACCTGAGGACAAGAGTTTGAGACCAACCTGACCAACATGGAGAAACCCTGTCTCTACTTAAAATACAAAATTAGCCAGGTGTGGTGGTGCATGCCTATAATCCCAGCTACTCGGGAGGCTGAGGCAGGAGAATTGTTTGAACCCAGGAGGTGGAGCTTGCAGTGAGCCGAGATCATGCCATTGCACTTTAGTCTGGCGATAAGAGCAAAACTCCATCAAAAAATAAATAAATAAATAAATTCACCATGTAGAAATCATCTGCATATATACAAACAGTAAGTAATTAGGAAATATAATGAGAGAAGGCCTGGTGCTGTGAGTGACTCATGCCTGTAATCCCAGCACTTTGGGAGGCCCAGGTGGGTGGATCACTTGAGGTCAGGAGTTGGAGACCTGCCTGGCCAACATGGTGAAACCCCATCTCTACTAAAAATACAAAATTAGCTGGCTGTGGTGGCAGGCGCCTGTAATCCCAGCTACTCGGGAGGCTGAGGCACAAGAATCGCTTGAATGCAGGAGGTGGAGGTTGCAGTGAGCCGAGATCACACCACTGCACTCCAGCCTGGGCGACAGAGTGAAACTATGTCTCAAAATAAAAATAAAAATAAAAAGAACAGGAAATATAATGAGAGATGAGAGAGAAGATCCACTTAAAATAGCAACAATAAAGTAAAATATTTGCTGTAGACCAAAAGAAATGTGCAAAACCTATATGAGTAAAAACTATGAAACACACATGGAAGACACAAAAGTGGACTTAAACAAATGGAAAGACATACCGTGTTCTTGGATAGGAAGATTCTGTCATAAAGATGTCAGTTCTCCCTAAATTAAATGATATATTAATCATAATCCCAGTGGAAATTACCATGAGGTTTTGATAATTTTGTAGTCTTACAAGTTTTTTATATAAAGATTTTTTTAAAAAGAATAAACACTAGCCTGAGCAACACAGTGAGACCCCATCTCTACAAAAATACAAAAATTAGCTGGGCAGGATGGCACATGCCTGTAGTCCCAGCTCCTTGGGAGGCTGAAGTGGGAGGACCGTTTGAACCTGGGAGGCAGTGGTTGCGGTGAGTCAAGATCATGCCGCTGTACTCCAGCCTGGGTGACAAAGCAAGACCCTGTGTCCAAAAAAAAAAAAAAAAAAAAAAAAGAATAAACAAGTAATAATTCTTTAAGAAAGAGATACATAGGGAGGCTAGCCCTCCACGACGTTAAAATGTTATAAAGTTTCTGTAATTAAAAGAGTATAGTGTTGATATATGAATAGACAGATCAATGAAAGGATGCATCTCGAAGCAGTGGGGAAGAGCCAAACTTTTTTTTTTTTTTTTTTTTTTGAGACGGAGTCTCGTTCTGTCGCCCAGGCCGGACTGCGGACTGCAGTGGCGCAATCTCGGCTCACTGCAAGCTCCGCTTCCCGGGTTCACGCCATTCTCCTGCCTCAGCCTCCCGAGTAGCTGGGACTACAGGCGCCCGCCACCGCGCCCGGCTAATTTTTTGTATTTTTAGTAGAGACGGGGTTTCACCTTGTTAGCCAGGATGGTCTCGATCTCCTGACCTCATAATCCACCCGCCTCGGCCTCCCAAAGTGCTGGGATTACAGGCGTGAGCCACCGCGCCCGGCGAGCCAAACTTTTAAATAAACGGTATTGAGACAACTGCAACCGTGTACCTATATGGAAAAATATAACATCAGCTTCATTCTTCTCATATACCAGAATAAATGGCAAATGGGTAAGAGATCTAAATATGAAAAATGAAAACACAAATACTAGAAGAAAAACTGAATGTGTCTTTTTAAACTGGGAGTGGGAAAACATTTATAACTTTAAAAGCAGAAGCTATAGAGAAAAGACTGATAACTGTTACTATATAAATGTAAATATTATTTGCAAACATGAGAGAAGAAGGGAGAGAGAGAGAGGAAGACCTAAAATATTTAAAAGAAATTAACAAACTGTCAAAAGGTATTGACAAGTCATAACACACTAATACTCCTAACATACAAAGAGTTCATGATTTTTAGAATCATGAGGAAGGAGAAAGGGCAAAATATATGAACATAGAGAGTGAAAAAAAGAGGCCGGGATCAGTGGCTCATTCATGTAATCTCAGTCCTTTGAGAGGGCTGAGATGGGAGGATAGCTTGAGGCCAGGAGTTCAAGATCAGCCTGGGCAACATAGTGAGACCCACTCTCTACAAAAAATAAAAATAAAAACATTAGCCAGATGCAGTGGCACATGCCTGTAGTCCCAGCTACTCGGGAGGCTGAGATTGGAGGATTGCTTGAGCCCAGAAGGTCCAGGTTGCAGTGAGCTATAATCACTCCACTGCACTCCAGCCTAGGTGACGGTAGAGATCCTGTCTCTAAAAGAAAGGCAAATAGCAAAGATGGTCAGCCTTTTACATGATGAGGAAAGTGCAGTTTTTTATTTTTTTTTTGAGAGAGAGTCTGGCTCTGTCACCCAGGCTGGAGAGAAGTGGCATGATCTCAGCTCACTGCAACCTCCGCCTCCCGGGTTCAAGTGATTCTCCTGCCTCAGCCTCCCAAGTAGCTGGGATTACAGGCGCGTGCCACCATGCCTGGCTAATTTTATTTTATTTTATTTTATTTTATTTTATTTTATTTTATTTTTGTATTTTTAGTAGAGACCGGGTTTCACCATGTTGGCCAGGCTGGTCTCCAACTCCCGACCTCAAGTGATCCGCCTGCTTCGGCCTCCCAAAGTGCCGGGATTACAGGCACCAGCCACTGCGCCTGGCCAGAAGTGCAAAGTAAAATCATCCTGAGATATTTCTCCCCTATCAGATTGGCAAAACTCCAAAAGTTTGACAACATACTCTGATGTTGAGATATAGGGAGTCAGGCTCTGTTATACATTGCTTATGGAATGCAGGATGATATAATCTTTGTGGAAGGCAACTTGGCAATGTCTAATGAAACAGAATATGCATTTACACTTTGATTTAGCAATCCTACTTCTAGGAATCTATCCCAAGACGCACTAGCAAAACCAGTAAATGGCATACAAACAAGACAATTCATTGCAGCACTATTTGTGTCAATAAAAGACTGGAAATAACAAAAATGGTGTTTGGGGACTGGTTGAATGTCGCAGCTATACAGTGGAGTCCTATACAGATGTAAAAAGCAATGAGAAGAACCCCTATCTACCTCCATGGATTCCAGAAAATATGGCTAAATGGAAAAAAGCAAGGGGCAGAACAGTGCATAGTGTGCCATTCTTTGGGTAAGAAAAGTGTGGAAATATGAATATATAAATTATATATTAAAATTATATTTTCATAAATAATGAAAGCAGAAACGGTTGCCTATAGAGCAGTCTTTCCCAATCTTTTCACTCCAGGGGAACTCCTTTTTTTTTTTTTTGCTTAGACGGGGACTCACTCTGCCACCCAGGCTGGAGTTCAGTGTGGCACTGCAGTTGAACTCACTGCAGCCTGGACCTCCTGGACTTCAGAAATCCTCCCACCTCAGCCTCCTGAGTAGATGGGACTGCAGGCATGCACCACCATGCCCAGCTAATTTTTGTATTTTTTGTAGAGATGAGGTCTCACTAAACTGCATAGGCTGGTCTCAAACGCTTGGGCTCAAGTGATCCTCCCACTTCGGCCTCCCAAAGTGCTGGGATTACAAGCGTGAGCCACCGTACTGCTTAGAACAACTCTTGAAATGATTTTTAGGTCTCAGAGAACCCCTGCATAAAAATTATACCTACAGCTCATGGTATATTAGTGTGATTATTAAGATGTAGATATAATCATTCAATAATAAATCAGTAATGCCATTTTGAGAAGAGAATTTTTTTCTTTTCTTTTTCTTTTTTTTTTTTTGAGATGGAGTTTCGCTCTGTCTCCCAAGCTGGAGTGCAGTGGCACAATCTTGGCTCACCGCAACCTCCACCTCCCTGGTTCAAGTGATTCTCCTGCCTCAGCCTCCCAAGTAGCTGGGATTACAGGCATGCGCCACCACGCCCAGCTAATTTTGTATTTTTAGCAGAGACGGCATTTCTCCTTGTTGGTCAGGCTGGTCTTGAACTCCCGACCTCAGGTGATCCACTCACCTTGGCCTCCCAAAATGCTAGGATTACAGACGTGAGCCACCGCACCTGGTCGAGAATTTTTTTTTTTTCCCCTGTGAGTTGTGCATTTTGCTGAACTTATTAGCACACACTTTTTGTGTGGTCCCTCCAATCCACAAAGGATGTCAACTCCCATGCAAATCAATAGTATAGGTAAAGAAACCTTTTCATTTTAAAAATGTCTTCCTTATTTTACTTTATCCAAAAAAATCCAAAGCCTTATTACAAATTTCTACTACACAAGATGTTGATCAACTGTGATATATAGTGCATGTTTCATCCCCACTAAAAACTAAAAATGACTTTTTAACCAAACTTTCTTGAAAAATATTAAGCTTAGTTTAACCTTTATTGAAATTAATCTATTTCTTTCCTTTTCATAAAAATTTTAAACAGCTTTATCAGGATATAATTCACATACCGTACAATCCACTGCTTGAAAGTATAAAGTTCAGTGGTTTTTAGTATATTCGCAGAAATGTGCAACCATCACCAGAGTCAATTTTTTTTTTTTTTTTCCAGACAGAGTCTGGCTCTGCCACCAGGCTGGAGTGCAGTGGCTCGATCTTGGCTCACTGCAACCTCCACCTCCTGGGTTCAAGCAATTCTCCTGCCTCAGCCTCCCGAGTAGCTGGGACTACAGGCGCATGCCACCACACCTGGCTAATTTTTGTATTTTTAGTAGAGACGGGGTTTCACCATGTTGGCCAGGATGGTCTCGAACCCTTGGCCTCATGATCCATCTGCCTCGGCCTCCCAAAGTGCTGGGATTGCAGGCGTGAGCCACCGTGCCTGGCCCACCAGAGTCTATTTTAGAACATTTTCATCACCTCAAAAATGAACCCTATACCCTTCAGCTGTGACCCCCTCTCTCCCCCATGCATCCCAGCCCAGGAAAACCACTAATCTCTTAAATAGAATCATATAAAATGATTACAGTATCATTATGAGAAATATCATAACGTTTTCAGGTTCATTCACGTTGTAGCCTGTGCCATTACTTCATTCCTTCTTATGGCCAAAAAACAGTTCATTGATTGGATATATCATTCTACATTTTCTTTACAGATTTGTGAGTTGACAGACATTTGAGTTGTTTCTACTTTTTGGCTATTATAAATACGGAAGCTATAAACATTTGTGTAAAAGTTTTTATGTAGACATATGTTTTAAATTCTTCCAGGGGTACACCTAGGAGTAGATTTGCTAGATCATATGTTAACTTTATAATTAATCATTTGAGGAAGTGCTAAACTGTTTTCCAAAGCAGCTGTACCATTTTGCGTTACCACCAGCAGTATATGAGGGTTCTGATTTCTCCACATCCTCAGTAACACTTGTTACTATCTTTTTCATTATAACCATACTAGTGGGTGTGAAGTGGTATCTCACTGTGGTTTTGATTTGGATTTCCCTGACAACTAATAATGTTGAGTATCTTTTCATGTGCTCATTGACCATTTCTGTTTCTTCTTTGGAGAAATGTCTGTTTTGAACATTTGCCCATTAAAAAAATTTTTTTTTCCAGAGATGAGGTCTTGCTGTGTCACCCAGGCTGGGGTGCAGTGGTGCAATTGTAGCTCACTGCAGCCTCGAACTCCTGGGCTCAAGCAGTCCTCCTGCCTCAGCCTCCTGAATAGCTAGGACTACAGGCATGTACCACCATGCCGGGCTAATTTTCAAATTTTTCGTAGAGATGGAGTCCTGCTATTTTCCCCAGGCTGGTCTCAAATTCCTGGGTTCCCATCTTGGCCTCCGAAAATGCCGGGATTATGGGCGTGAGCCATCCCATCTGGCCTAAAAAAACTTTAAAAAAATTCTGGTAAAATATACATAACATAAAATTTACCATCTTAGTCCTTTTACATATACAGTTCAATAGCGCTAAGTCCGTTCACCTAGTTGTGGTTTTCCCATGTTAAAATTTAATTATCTGTATTTTATTGAGTGTGAGTTGTGTTGTTTATGTCTTTTATGTGTTTAGCTATAAATCCCTTATTAGCGATGTGATTTATAAAATTTTCTCCCATTCTGTGGGTTGTCTTATCACTTTCTTGATAGTGTCCTTTGAAGCACAAAGGTTTCTAATACTGATCAAGACCAATTTATCTCTTTTTTCCTTGGTTACTTGCGCTACTGGTATCATATCTAAATATCCATTGCCAAATATAAGGTAATCAATATTTTTCTTCCAATACTTTCATGTTTTCTTCCAAGACTTTTATAGTTTAACTCTTACACTTAGGTCTTATATTCGTTTTGAATTAATTTTTTTATATGGTAAGAAGCCAACTTCATTCTTTTGCATATGGCTACCAGTTGTCTCAGCATCATTTGTTGAAAAGACAATTTTTTTCCCATTGAATGATCTTGACATCTTTGTCAAAAATTAGTTGACTGTAGACACATGGTTTTATTCTTGGACTCTCAATTCTATTCCGTTGATCAATATATCTGTCCTTATGCTAGTACCACATTATCTTGATTGTTGCTGCTTTGTATTAAGTTTTGAAATAAGGAAATGTGAGTCCTCTAACTTTGTTCTTCCTTTTCAAGATTATTTTGGCTATTTGGAGTTCCTTTCAATTCCAAATAAACTTGAGAATCAGCCTGTCAATTTCTTCAAAGAAGTCAGCTGAGATTTTGATAAGAATTGATGTAATCTGTAAATCAATTTGGAGAGTATTGCCATCTTAACAATATTAAGTATTCACAAAAAAGCCTTATGGTAAAAATAAATAAATAGGCTGGATGTGGTGGCTCATGACTGTAATCCCAGCACTTTGGGAGGCCAAGGTGGGTGGATTACTTGAGGTCAGGAGTTCAAGACAAGCCTGGGCAACATGGTGAAACCTCATCTCTACTGAAAATACAAAAATTGGCGGGTGTGGTTCTGGGTGCTTGTAATCCCAGCTACTCTGGAGGCTGAGGCAGGAGAATGGCTTGAATCCAGGAGGGAGAGGTTGGAGTGAGCTGAGATTGTGCCATTGCACTCCAGCCTGGGTGACAAGAGTGAAACACCATCTCAATAAATAAATAAATAAATTTTAAAATATTTACGTCTTCTGGAAACATGGCGGACGAAGTAGACCAGCAACAAACTACCAACACTGTAGAGGAGCCCCTGGATTTTATCAGGCTCAGCCTAGGTGAGAGAATTTATGTGAAAATGAGAAATGACCGAGAGCTTCGAGGCAGATTACCATGCTTATGATCAACATTTAAATATGATCTTGGGAGACATGGAAGAAACTGTGACTACTATAGAAATTGATGAAGAAACATATGAAGAGATATATAAACCAATGAAATGGAATATTCCAATGCTTTTTGTCCAGGGAGATGTCGTTGTCCTGGTTGCCCCTCCACTGAGAGTTGGCTGAAACAAAGAATTTGTCCTGTATGGAAAATAGGAGACTTTGCACAGTGGCCTCTCTAAATGTACAAGACATTCAAAAGAGAATCCTGCATACATTTTGATATTAAGAAATAATTCTGAGGCCGGGCGTGGTGGCTCACGCCTGTAATCCCAGCACTTTGGGAGGCCGAGGCGGGCGGATCACAAGGTCAGGATATCGACACCATCCTGGCTAACATGGTGAAACCCCGTCTCTACTAAAAATACAAAAAATTAGCCGGGCGCGGTGGCGGGCGCCTGTAGTCCCAGCTACTCGGGAGGCTGAGGCGGGAGAATGGCGTAAACCCGGGAGGCGGAGCTTGCAGTGAGCCGAGATTGTGCCACTGCACTCCAGCCTGGGCGACAGAGTGAGACTCCATCTCAAAAAAAAAAAGAAAAATGAAATAAAAAAAGAAATAATTCTGGGGATTCTTCCACTCCTGAAATGAGTTGATTTGCAGATGACTCATAACTAAGCTAAATGGTATTTTCATTTCTCTCAAGCTCTTTCAATAAATATGACCACCAAGAGAAAAAAAATTGTCTTTTAATCCATGAACGTGTAATACTTTTCTTTTTATTTAGGATTTGTTCATTTCTTTCATGAATATTTTCATAGTTTCCAGAGTATAAATTTTATGCTTCTTTAGTTAACTATATTCCCAGGATTTTATTCTTTTTGATGATATCATAGATGAAATGGTTTTCCTAATTTCATTTTCAGATTGTTCTTCACAAATGTGTAGAAATATAATTAATTTTTGTATATTGATCTTACATCTTGTGATCTTGCTGAATGCATTAGTTCTAATAATTTTTTGTTTGTTTGTTTGTTTTTTAAGACGGAGTCTCGCTCCATTGCCCAGGCTGGAGTGCGGTGGTGCTATCTCGGCTCACTGCAAGCTCCGCCTCTCCGGTTCACGCCATTCTCCTGCCTCAGCCTCCTGAGTAGCTGGGACTACAGGCACCTGCCACCGCGCCCGGCTAATTATTTTTTCTTTTGGTATTTTTAGCAGAGACGGGGTTTCACCATGGTCTCGACCGCCTGACCTCATGATCCACCAGCCTCGGCCTCCCAAAGTGCTGGGATTACAGGCATGAGCCACCGCTCCTGGGCAAGTTCTAATAATTTTTTTACTAGATTCCTTACGATTTTCTATATATAAGATTTGCAAATCAAGATAGCTTTACTTCTACCTTTTCATCCTGATGGCTTTTATTACATATTGTAGCCTAATTGCCCTGGTTGGATCCTCCAGTACTATGCTGACTACAATTGGTGAACATCCTTGTCTTGCTCCTGACCTTAGGGGGAAAGCATCTAGTCTTTCACCGTTAATTATGCTATTAACTATGGGTTTTTCAGAGATGCCCCTTATCAGGTTGAGAATTCCCTTCCATTTCTAATTTATTAAGTATGTTTTGTCACGAAAGGGTGTTAGATTTTGTCCAGTGCTTTTCCTAATTGTATTGAGATGATCGCATAGTTTTTGTCCTTTATTTTATTGATATGATGTAGTATATTAATCGATTTTCATATATTGAACCTACCTTCCATCCTTGAGATAAATCTCACCTGGTCATGGTGTATAAAACTTTTTATACGTTGCAAACTTTTGTTTGCTAGTGTTTTGTTGTGGATCTTTGTGTCTATATGCATAGGGATATTGGTTTATAGTTTTCTTGTGATGTCTTTGTCTGGCTTTGGTATCAGGGTACTACTGGCCTCATAGAATGGGTTAGGAAGTATTCCATCCTCTTCTATTTTTTGGAAGAGTTTGAGAAGGGTCGGTGTTAGTTCTTCAAACATTTGGTGGGATTCATCAGTGAAACCATCTGGTAGCTTTTCTTTGTTGAATGTTTTTAGATTAATGACTCAGTTTCTTTGCTTGTTATAAATATATTCAGATTTTCTATTCCTTTCGAGGTAATTTTTGTAGTTTTTGTCTATCTAAGAATTTGTTCATCTAAGTTATCCAGTTTGTTGACATACTTTTTTCTTTCTTTCCTTTCCTTTTCTTTTCTCTCTTTACTTTCTTTCTTTTTTTTTTTTTAGAGACAAGGTCTCACTCTCTCACCGAAGCTGGAGTGCAGTGGCATGATCATAGCTCACTGTGATCTTGAACTCCTGGGCTCAAGAAATCCTCCCACTTCAGTCTCCCAAATAGCTAGGATTATGGGCATCCTACTATGCCCAGCTAGTTAAAGAACTTTTTTTTTTTTTTTTTTTTTTTTTTTTTTTTTTTGAGACGGAGTCTCGCTCTGTCGCCCAGGCTGGAGTGCAGTGGCGCGATCTCGGCTCACTGCAAGCTCCGCCTCCCGGGTTCACGCCATTCTCCTGCCTCAGCCTCCCGAGTAGCTGGGACTACAGGCGCCCGCCACCACGCCCGGCTAATTTTTTGTATTTTTAGTAGAGACGGGGTTTCACCGTGTTAGCCAGGATGGTCTCGATCTCCTGACCTCGTGATCCGCCCGCCTCGGCCTCCCAAAGTGCTGGGATTACAGGCGTGAGAAGAACTTTTTAAAAAAAAGATGGAGTCTCTCTATGTAGCCCAGGCTGGTCTCAAACTCCTGGTCTCAAGCAATTCATTAGGATTACAGGTGTGAGCCTGGTCAGTAGTCTCTTACAATCCTTTTTTTTTTTTTTTTTTTTTTTGAGACAGAGTCTTGCTCTTTCGCCAGGCTGGAGTGCAGTGGCATGATTTTGGCTCACTGCAACCTCCACCTCCCAGGTTCAAGAGATTCTCCTGCCTCAGCCTCCTGAGTAGCTGGGACTACAGGCACGTGCCACCACGCCCAGCTAATTTTTGTATTTTTAGTAGAGACGGGGTTTCACCATGTTGGCCAGGATGATCTCGATCTCTCGACCTCGTGATCAGCCCACCTCAGCCTCCCAAAGTGCTGGGATTACAGGTGTGAGCCACCGCACCTGGCCTCTTATAATCCTTTTTATTTACGTAAGGTTGGTAGTAAATTTCCTCTTTACTGATTTCAGTAGCTTGAGTCTTCTCTTTTTTTTTTTTCTTGGTTAGTCTAGCTAAATATTGTCAATTTCATTGATCTTTTCAAAAAACCAACTTTTGATTTTGTTGATTTTCTCTGTTGTTTCTCTATTCTCTATTACATGTATCTCCGTTCTAATCTTTGTTAATTTCTTTTTTCCATTTGCTTTGGATTTAGTTTGCTCTTCTCTTTCTAATTTACTTTTCTTTTTCTTTTGAGACAGGGTCTCACTCTGTCTCCCAGGCTAGAGTGCAGTAGTGCAATCATGGCTCACTGCAGCCTCAACCTCCCTGGGCTCAGGTGATCCTCTCACCTCAGTCTCCTGAGTAGCTGGGACTACAGGTGCGTGCCATCTCACTCAGCTAATTTTTGTATTTTTTGTAGAGATGGAGTTTTGCCACGTTGCCCAGACTGCTTTCGAACTCCTGGGCTCAAGCAATCCTCCTGCCTTAGCCTCCCAAAGCGCTGGGATTACTGGCATGAGCCATCATGCCTGACCCCTTTCTAGTTCTTTAATGTAGAAGATTTAATTATTTATTTGAGACCTTTCTTCTTCTTTTATGTAGATATTTACAGCTATAAATTTCCCTGTAAGCACTGCTATTGCTGCATCCCATAACTTTTGGTATGTGTGTCTTCATTTTCATTTGCCTCAAAGTATTTTCTGATTTTTAAAAATTTCTTTTTTTTTTGAGACGGAGTCTCGTTCTGTTACCCAGGCTGGAGTGCTGTGGCGCGATCTTGGCTCACTGCAACCTCTGCCTCCTGGGTGCAAGTGATTCTCCTGCCTCAGTCTCCTGAGTAGCTGGGATTACAGGTGCACATCACCATGCCGGCCTAATTTTTTTTATTTTTAGTAGAGACAGAGTTTCACTATGTTGGCCAGAGTGGTCTCGAACTCCTGACCTCATGATCCACCTGCCTTGGCCTCCCAAAGTGCTGGGATTACAGGTGTGAGCCACTGCGCCCAGCCTTAAAAATTTCTTTCTTAGCCAGGCGCAGTGGCTCATGCCTGTAATCCCAGCACTTTGGGAGGCCGAGGCAGGTGGATCACCTGAGGTCAAAAGTTTGAGACCAGCCTGACCAATATGGTGAAAACCCATCTCTACTGAAAATACAAAAATTAGCCAGGCGTGGTAGTGGGCACCTGTAGTCCCAGCTACTTCGGAGGCTGAGACAGGAGAATTGCTTGAACCTGAGAGGCGGAGGTTGCAGTGAGCCAAGATCACGCCATTGCACTCCAGCCTGGATGACAGAGCGAGACTCTGTCTCAAAAAAAAAAAAAAAAAAAAATTCTTTCTTGACTAAATCGTTATTTGGAAGTGTGTTGTTTAATTTCCACCTATATGAGCTTCAAGTCAGTAATTAAAAAAAAATTCCACCTATTTGTGGATATACCGAATTTCTCTCCATTGATTTCTATTTCCATTTAATTGTAATTGGAGAACATAATTTGTATTATTTCTGTCCTTTTAAATTTATTGAGGTTTGTTTTATGACCTGTCATATGATCTATCTTTAGAGTGTTCCATGTGCACTTAAAAATTTTGATTCCACTTTTGCTGGGTGAAGTGTTCTGTAGATGTCTGTTAAGTCTAGTTTGTTTCTAGCGCTGTTCAAGTCTTCTATTTCCTTGTCGACCTTCTGTCTAGTTGTTCTACCCATTATTGAAAATGAAGCATATAAGTCTTCAACTATTATTGTCAAATTGTCTATTTCTCTCTTCAATTCTTTCATTTTTTGGCTTCACATATTTTGCATTTCTGTTGTTAGCTGCATATATGTGTGTAATTGCTACATTTTCTTGATGGATTTTGCGGCACCTCTTTACAGAGGAAAAGTGATCTTGAATTTTATTGCAATTTACAAATATTACAAATGTTAAGGTATTATATTTATTGGTGACATCTCTTGACTCAGTCTGGATAAAGATGTTGTTAATTTTACTGTATTACATAAAACCTCTTTGGCATTAGGTAACAATGTCATTAACAGGGGGCCTTGTTGCACTTGGGGGAGCAAAATCCTCCCATTTCTCATGCTGCATATTGTTCTAGAGTCTGCTCAACTCTAAGTTTCCATCTGGCATTGTTAGTGTCTCATTAACTGTATGACTTTTCCTATCCTAGGCAATAATTCTGCTACTAAATAATTTTTTTCCTGAGCCTTTTTTCTGCTTGTGACTTTTAAAAACTTTAGTCTGTTTGAAGATTCCAGTAACTACTTACAATAATCAGCCCGTTTACTTGTCAAATGACTATGATTTGTAGTCGAGTGTCTTTTCACTTTTGTGGGAGCCGTTGCTGAATGTGTAAGTTGCTCACCACAGATGACACACAAATGAACAGAAAACTCAAAGCCCATGTAAAGCCCATTTACAAATATCTTTAATTATGTAGATGAACTTTTTTGTGTCCATTGTCCTCTAGTGCATTGAAATGACTCAGAAAACTGAAATTTCTCATCGCTAATTTGAGAAGTGTCGTAGCCAGGTGCAGGGATGAGTGCCTGTAATCTCAGCTACTTGGGAAGCCGAGACACCTTAAGCTTGGGAGTTCCAGACCACAGACCAGCCTGGGGGCAACATAGCAAGACCTTGTCTCTTAAAAAAAAAAAAAAAATGCCAGTGTAGTGGCTCATGCTTATAATCTCAGCACTTTGGGAGGCTGAGGTGGGTGGGTCACCTGAGGTCAGGAGATCGAGACCAGCCTGGCCAACGTGGTAGAACCCCGTCTCTACTAAAAATACAAAAATTAGCCAGGAGTGGTGGCAGACGCCTATAATCCTGGCTACTTGGGAGGCTGAGGCAGGACAATCACTTGAACCTGGGGTGTGGAGGTTGCAGTGAACCGAGATCATGCCACTGCACTCCAGCCTGGGTGATGGATTGAGACTCCATCACAAAAAAGAAAGGAAAAAAAAAAAAAAAGAAGAAAAAGGAAAAAAGGGAAGTTTCTGTAAACCTAGGCTTTGAATCCCCCTTTTCTTTTTTATACTACATCTATCTTCAAAAATCAGCATATTGGACTATCAAACATGTTGGTAAGACACAAACGCTAGTTCTAAGAGGATATAACTGGAAGAGTATGGTAAATATCTACCTGAGAAAATTGAAAAAATGATGAATGTGTCACAGTATGCATCACTTCTAATATATGCAATTCACATTTTGCAATGTTTACAGTAACTGCAAAATGACAAGGATGGATGTCCTTGTCATTGTAGCACTAAAAATTCCATCTTTAGCATGAAACTTTACCTCTTATTTTCTACTAAACTGATAAGGCGTGTTTGCCTTGTGAGTAAAATGGCAGTGTGTAAGGAAGCTGGGAAAGGAAATTTGAGTAAGAGAGTGTGGTGTTCTAAAATATGTCCACAAAAAAGGTGGAGCTGGCTCATGCCTGTAATCCCAGCACTTTGGGAGGCCGAGGCGGGTGGATCACCTGAGGCCAGGAGTTCGAGACCAGCCTGGCCAACATGGTGAAACCCCGTCTCTACTAAAAATGCAAAAAAATTAGCCAGGCGTGGTGGCACACACCTGTAATCCCAACTACTAGGGAGGCTGAGGCAGGAGAATCACTTGAACTTGGGAGGTGGAAGTTGCAATAAGCTGAGATCAGGACACTGCACTCCAGCCTAGGTGACAGAACCAGACTCCATCTCAAAAAAAAAAAAAAAAAAAAAAAAGTGGAGCCCATTTCCACTCCCTCATCCCCTCAAGCATGAGCTATCCCTAGTGATTTGCTTAGTGAATGGCATGTGGCAGAAGTGACAGTGTGTGATATTCAAGATCAGGACATACAGAGCATGTGCAGCTGTGCAAGGGGCTCACACCTGTAATCCTAGCACTTGGGGAGGCCAAGGCGGGAGGGTCGCTTTTGGACAGGAGTTTGAGAC
Source organism: Homo sapiens (assembly GCF_000001405.40). Taxonomy (NCBI): domain Eukaryota; kingdom Metazoa; phylum Chordata; class Mammalia; order Primates; family Hominidae; genus Homo; species Homo sapiens. The sequence continues at coordinate 21,656 of NW_025791763.1, read as the reverse complement.
TAGCCTGGGAAATATAGCAAGACCCTGTCTGTACAAAAAACTTTAAAAATTAGCCAGGCATGGTGGCACGTGCCTGTAGTTCCAGTGAGGTGGGAGGCTGAGGCAGGAGGATGGCTGGAACCCAGAAGTTAGAGGTTACAGTGAGTAATGATTGCACCACTGCATTCCAGTCTTTGCAACAGAGCAATATCCTGTCTCTAAGAAAAGGAAAGCACTGTGGCTTTCTCCATGCGCTCTCTCTTGGATCACTCTCCTGGGGGAAAACCAGAAACCAAGATGTCAGGACACTTAAGCAGCCCTAGGAAGAGTCCCACATGGCAAGGAACTGAAACCTTCTGCCAATAATAAAGTAAGGTCCTTTGTTCACATGTTTATCTGCTGACCTTCCCTCCACTATTGTCCTATGACCCTGCCAAATCCCCCTCTCCGAGAAACACCCAAGAATGATCAATAAATACTAAAAAAATAAAAAATAATAATAATAAAGTAAGGGAGCCATCTTGGAGGTAGACCCCCACCAGACCCTGTCAAGCCTTCAGGTGACTGAATCCCCAGATGACATCCTGATTGCAACCCTACAAGAGCCTGAGCTAGAGTTGCCCACCTAAACTACCAAATTCCTGTCCCACAGAAACCATAATATGAGATAAATTGTTGGTTGTAAATTTTGGAGTGATTTGTTATGCAGCAACAGATAACTAATACAGATTGGGGCTTACGCCACCAGCTTACCATCCTCCTCCACACAATACAGAGCTCGTCCTCTATTAGCAGCCTCCCCATCTTGTGTCGAAACTGAGAATGGCCTCAGCCAAATGAACTCAGCGCTACTCTGCACTATCAACAACGTTCCACTGACCAAAGCAAGGTACATGGCCAAGTCCAGATTCAAAGGTAGGAGAAATAAACCATATGTCTTGGTGGGAGAGGCTGGATAAAGATGTTAATTTTACTGTATTACATAAAACCTCTTTGACATTAGGTAACATGTCATTAACAGAGGGCCTTATTCATCAGAGAAATGCAAATTAAAACCACAATGAGATACCATCTCACACCAGTTAGAATGGCAATCATTAAAAAGTCAGGAAACAACAGGTGCTGGAGAGGATGTGGAGAAATAGGAACACTTTTACACTGTTGGTGGGACGGTAAACTGGTTCAACCATTGTGGAAGTCAGTGCGGCGATTCCTCAGGGATCTAGAACTAGAAATACCATTTGACCCAGCCATCCCATTACTGGATATATACCCAAAGGACCATAAATCATGCTGCTATAAAGACAACATGAACACGTATGTTTATTGCGGCACTATTCACAATAGCAAAGACTTGGAACCAACCCAAATGTCCAACAATGATAGACTGGATTAAGAAAATGTGGCACATACACACCATGGAATACTATGCAGCCATAAAAAATGATGAGTTCATGTCCTTTGTAGGGACATGGATGAAATTGGAAATCATCATTCTCAGTAAACTATCGCAAGGACAAAAAACCAAACACCGCATGTTCTCACTCATAGATGGGAATTGAACAATGAGAACACATGGACACAGGAAGGGGAACATCACACTCTGGGGACTGTTGTGGGGTGGGGGGAAGGGGGAGCGATAGCATTAGGAGATATACCTAATGCTAAATGACGAGTTAATGGGTGCAGCACACCACCATGGCACATGTATACATATGTAACTAACCTGCACATTGTGCACATGTACCCTAAAACTTAAAGTATAATAATAATAAAAAAAAGAAAAAGAATGGAGATTATCTCAGGTAAATGGTTTATAAATAAACTTTTGCCTTCTTTCTTAAAAAACAAAACAAAACAAAACAAAAAACAAAAACACAGAGGGCCTTATTGCACTTTGGGGGAGCAAAATCCTCCCATTTCTCATGCTGCATATTGTTCTAGAGTCCATTCAACTCTAAGTTGCAAAGTCATATTGCAAAGAAGCCTGCATACAGGAAAGAGAGGGATTTGTAACCATTTTTAAAAATCTACCACTAGCAGGAATATTTTGTTGTGCCAGGAAGCACAGAAACTGTCAAAGACTAATGAAGTCATTTGAAAAGGACATATGAGACAACTTGAGGGGGCTTCACTGGCCTAACATGGAAAAATTAGGATTTGTTTTTAAATACTCAAGAAAAGTCCAGGCACAGTGGCTCATGCCTATAATCCCACAGCTTTGGGAGGCTGAGGCAAGGGAGGATCACTTGAAGCCAGGAGTTCAAGACCAAACTGGGCAACATAGTGAGACCCTATCTCTAAAAATAAATAAATAATTAACCGGGCATGGTGACATGTGCCTGTAGTCCCAACTACTTGGGAGGCTGAGGTGGGAGGATTGCTTGAGCCAGAGAGGTCGAGGCTGCAGTGAGCCATGGTTGTGTCACTGCACTCTGGCCTGGGTGGCAGAGTGAGACCCTGTCCCAATAAAATAAAACAAAATACTGAAGAAAAAACAAAATTGGAGTGTGGAGAGATAAAACAGGTTTGACAGAATGTTGAGAATAGCCAAAGCTTAGTGATGGACAGAGGAAGATTAATTTTTTTTAGTCTCTTTACTTTTGGTATGTTTGACATTTTTCTTAATAAGAATTTTCAAAAAGTCACATGTATTTAGGACAAAAAAATTTAGAAAACACAGAAATGTAAAAAGTGAAAAATAATTGGTTAATCCCACCACTCAGAGATAAGTGTTGGTAATACCGGACTGTCCTTCTAGGCTGTTCCTATTCATATTTGCAAACTGTGGCCTCCCAGCCTTGCTCAGAATGTCACTAACCATTGTTGTCTTAGTCTGTTTTGTGCTGCGATAGCAGAATACCACACACTGGCTAATTTGTAACAAACAGAAATTTATTTGGTTCATGGTTCTGGAGGCTGGGAAGTCCAAGATTGAGGAATGCATCTGGCGAGGGTTTCTTGCTGCGTCATAACATGACTGAAGGTATTGCATGGTGAGAGAAGGCAAGAGATTGAATTTGCAGTCTCAAGCTCTTTTAAAATTGGCATGAATCTATTCATAAGGGTGGAGCCCTCATGATCTAAACTGCTCCCATTGGGCCCCGTCTCCCAATACTGCTGCACTGGGGATTACATTTCCAACACATACTTTTTGGGGGACACATTCAAGCCATAGCAATCGTTAAGTAAACACAGCCTTCTGCGACACACCAGGGAGCTGTGCCTCATGGTTACTGGTAGGAGAAGCAACTTGCTTGCACATTGTTACCTGTAATTTGGATCCTATGGACTTGGCACTGTGGCTTTGGGTCCCATGTCTGAAACCCTTTTTTGTTTTGTGCGTTTTTTGTTTGTTTGTTTTGTTTTGCCCTGACTCAGGATCTTAACACTTTGGGAGGCAGATCCCTTCTGGCCCTTAGGGAGATCTCTTCTGAAACCTGTTTAGCTGCCTATTTCTGGGCAGGCCGCCACAACTACAAAGGGAATTGTGAGTATGCCACAAACCTATATTTGAATGCAACCTATCCTAAGCATACCCTAAGCTTCCCTTTCCTTTTCACATTATTAGGTAATAAGAAGACTGAAATGTTGAAATGTTGTTTAATTTATATGGATTTATTTTACAAATGTCACCAAATCAGAACCATATTCTACTTTTTCCACCTTACATATCCTGGGAATATTTTTGTGTGCTATTAAATATATATATATCTATATATATATATATATTTTTTTTGAGATGGAGTTTTGCTCTTGTCACCCAGGCTGGAGTGCAATGGCACGATCTCAGCTCACGGCAACATCCGCCTCCAAGGTTCAAGTGATTCTCCTGCCTCAGCCTCCCATGTAGCTGGGAATACAGGCGCCTGCCACCACACCTGGCTAATTTTTGTATTTTTTGTAGAGACAGGGTTTCACCATGTTGGCCAGACTGGTCTTGAACTCCTGACCTCAGGTGATCTGCCCGCCTCAGTCTCCCAAAGTGCTGGGGACAGGTGTGAGCCACCACGCCCGGCCTTAAATATACTTTCTAATATGATATTTTGTGCTGGCATAATTTTCTGAAGTTGCGTGTTATACATTCAAATTATTTTCCACAGCAATTTTCACAGCTCTAAATAATGCCACAATGAATATTTTTATAAATAAATCTTCCACTACCTCTCTGTCTCTTAGAATAGGTTCCTCGATATGGAATTACTGAATCAAGGCATTTGAACATTCATTTAAAACTCTTCATATGCATCTTGTTTTATGTTAAAATGTTGCCAATGTGATATGTGAAAAAATGATATTTTCCTTTTTTTTTTTCTTGAGACAGCAGGTTTCTCTGTCACCCAGGCTGGGGTTCAGTGATGCAATCATAGCTCGCTGCAGCCTTGATCTCCTGGGCTCAAGCAGTCCTCCTGCCTCAGCCTCCCAAGTAGCTGGGACTATAGGCACGCACCACCATACCTGGCTAGTGTTTTATTTTTTGTAGAGACGGGGGTCTCACTATATTGCCTAGACTGGTCTCTAACTCCTGTGCTCAAGCGATTCTCCCTCCTTAGCCTCCCAAAGTGCTGGGATTACAGGCATGGGCCGCAGCATCTGGCTGATTTGCTTTTCTTTGATCACTGGTGAAACAAACAAACGAAAGCATTTTAATGATTTTGGCGAAAGGTCAGGAGACATTAAGTGAAAAAGGACCCAGAACTCACTCTTTTGAATGACAATTTCTATAATATGACCTGCCACTACTTTAGCACTTGGTAGGAATTAGTATTAGAACATTGGAGCTGGACAGATTTGGGCTTGAAGTCCAGCACCTTCCAGATGTAACCTTGCGCAGATTCCTCACCCCATTTCTTCAACCTGTGGGAAGGGAGTCATAGGAGTCCCCGCCATCCTGTGTGCCGTGGCAATTTCATGAAGTCAAGTCTTAGCTTTTGCCTGCCCTGGAGTAAACACTCAACAAGTTAACTGTCAGGGCCATGACATACACGGACATTTGGAAATATTATCAAGTGTAAACAGATTATTGCTAAATGGTGGTGTACCATGTGATATTTTTGTTGTTCCTTTTTTACCTTGTTCTGTGCTGTTGAAGTTTTCTTTGTGTTTTTGTTTTTTTGTGTGTTTTTTTGAGGTGGAGTCTCCCTCTGTCGCCTATGCTGGAGTGCAGTGGCGTGATCTCAGCTCACTGCAACTCCGCCTCCTGGGTTCAAGTGATTCTCCTCCCTCAGCCTCCTGAGTAGCTGCGACTACAGGCGTGCACAACCACATCTGGCTAATTTTTGTATTTTTAGTAGTAACGGGGTTTCACCATGTTGGCCAGGATGGTCTCAATCTCCTGACCTCGTGATCCACCTGCCCCGGCCTCCCAAACTGCTGGGATTACAGGTGTGAGTCACTGCACCTGGCCGCTGTTGAAATTTTTAATAATTATCATGTGTTTTTTAATGAAGCCGGAAAACTTTTTTAGATGTTTTTTTTTCAAATGCAGCACCTCCTAGCTGGAAGTCCCCACTCCCCAAGGCTTGCAAATGCTTCAGCACTAAGCTGGCCCCCAGACAGCTGACCCCCCAGCCCACCCGCAGCTGATGTCTCAGAAGGCTGCAAGGATCAGTGTGTCGGGGCCGTCTGCCAGGTGCACAGCTGTGACCTCTTACAGTCTGAGCTGCTCTTGCCACAGCGAATTGGGGGCCCTGCTGGCTGGGGAGAGGGTCCAGCTGGAACTGAGCAGAAATGGGGAAGCTGAGAACTGCTGTGATAGCCCCAACCCATCCGGTACTACCATCTGTGCCTCTGGCCTGACAATCCCCGCAGGAGTTGGAATATTTTTAGAGCTGACAGAGGCCTTCCTGATCACCTAGCCCATGGTTCAGCCTTGGCTGCATGTGAGAATCATTCAGGAAGCATCTTCAAACAAGCTGATGCCTGTGTTCCACTCCAGACCTTTTAGAGCAGGATGTCCGGAGGTGGGCCCAGGTATTGGCAGGTGATTCTAATAGGCAGACAGGGTAAAAAACCACCACATCCATTTTTTTCCTTTCAGAATCAGAGAAGCTGAGTGCCTCTCGTAGCATCACATGGTAGGACACATGGTAGGACCCCAGTGGAGTCCTCAGCTGGTACAACAGCACAAATCATCATAGTCCTCCCTTACAACCTGAGAAGACTGAGTGGTTTGCAGAGATTTTTTTTCAGTCATCTCAATTAGTCCACATAATGTGGGGTGAGGAAGGCAGGTGGATATTTTCTCTGTTCCATGGGTCAGAAAACTGAGGCTCAGGAGGGTGATGTGAATTGCAAATTTGAGATAGAAGCAGAATGACAATGTGACTTAATTCCCAAGACATCCAAAGGCAGGGCTACTTCCCAGGGAGCCACTAAGGTGGAAATGCCTTTGCGGGCTGGCTGAGAGGGGCATTCTCGAGCCCTGTTCCAGACCTGCTGCACCAGCACATCTGGGTGTGGGAAGGTGTATGTACAGTTTTTAGAAACTCCTCAAGGGATTATAGTGGACACTACAATTTGAAGATCATTTCAAGTGCCTCTACTGTGGGGACCTGTGGCTACACAGCAACAGTATATTCCAATTTCTAATTGAATTTTAATCATGGGAGGCTGAGCAGAAGAAAATCTCAAAGAAACTATAATTCATATTCTCAGAGAGATAAGATACTATACTCACTAAGCTAGCATAGGATGGTATTTAATTTTAAGAGAAATGGCGACATTGAAAAATAAAAGGCAATGGAGATACGTTGACAAAATTCTGAGTGCCAATGCTTATTTTTGTTTTGGGGGGATTTTTTGTTTTGGTTTGGTTTTTTTGAGACAGAGTCTTGCTCTGTTGCCCAGACTGGAGTGCAGTAGCATAATCATGGCTTACTGTGGCCTTGAACTCCTGGGCAAAAGCAATTCTCCCACCTCAGCTTCCTGAGTAGCTGGGACCCCAGGTGTGATCCACCATATCTGGCTAATTTTTTTTTCTAGAGATGGGGGTGTCACTGTGTTGCCCAGGCTGTTCTCAAACTCCTGAGCTCAAGAGATCCTCCCATCTCAGCCTCCTAAAGTGTTGGGATTATAGGCATGAGCCACCATGACCAGACTTATTTTTGTTTTTTGAGATGGGGGCTCCCTATATTGCTCAGGCTGGCCTCAAACTTCTGGACTCAATCTTCCTGCTTCAGCCTCCCTAGTAGCTGAGATTACAGGTACATGCCTCTGCACCCAGCTGACAATGTGTGTTTTTTGTTTTTTTGAGATAGAGTTTCGCTCTCTTGCCCAGGCTGGACTGCAGTGGCACGATCTCGGCTCACTGCAACCTACGGCCCCTGGGTTCAAGTGATTCTCCTGCCTCAGACTCCCTGGTAGCTGGTATTACAGGCACCCACCACCACGCCCTGCTAATTTTTGTATTTTTGGTAGAGACGGGGTTTCACCATGTTGGCCAGGCTGGTCTCGAATTCCTGGCCTCAGGTGATCCACCTGCCTCGGCCTCCCAAAGTGCTGGGATTACAGGCATGAAGCCACCACGCCTGGCCAAAGCTGACAATGTTTTTTAACCAAAGAACTCATTCTATGCCTAGCCAAACTATCAATGAAATGTCTATGAAACAGAAAGACGTATTAGGACTTGCAAAATGAAAAATGAGCCAACTAATAACTGAGCAAACAAACGTATGTGCCTTTTCTCAGAAGCTACTGTGCACCACAGTTAGAAACTGGCCAGTTCAGACTGCAGCAAGAGGACAGACGACAGAGGCTCTAGGATGGATGCTTTGAGAAAAACAATGGAATGGATGCCTTTGGTCCTAGGGATAATCGTGCTAAGAGGCCTTTGGATAGAGCTGTAGAGCCGCTGGAATTTAGGGAAAGATGTGGCCAGAGATTCAGAGAGAACTAAACAAATGGAAAAGAATGAGGCAAACACAAAAAGTTATGTCAGAAAGGAAATGCAATCACAATACTCCACCTGCTTATTGTGGAGTAGAGTTTCAGAAGCATAATAATGGAAACACTAACTATGGATTTCAGCAAAAATTGTCATATATTTAGGGGACAGCGGAAGCAGGGGGAAGTCATCAGGAGGCTTATTGCTTGAACACACATGTTAGTGACGGGTACCCAGAAATGAGCAATAACTAGGTAAAAGTCAAAACAAGCAGTGCGGTTGGTGGGAGTGTAAATTAGTTCAACCATTGTGGGAGACAGTGTGGCGATTCCTCAAGGATCTAGAACAAGAAATACCATTTGACCCAGCAATCCCATTACTGGGTGTATACCCAAAGGACTATAAATCATTCTACTATAAAGACACATGCACACGTATGTTTTTTTGTGGCACTATTTGCAATAGCAAAGACTTGGAACCAACCCAAATGCCCATCAATGATAGACTGGATAAAGAAAATGTGGCACATACACACTATGGAATACTATGCAGCCATAAGAAGAATGAGTTCATGTCCTTTACAGGGACATCGATGAAGCTGGAAACCATCATTCTCAGCAAACTAACACAGGAACAGAAAACCAAACACGACATCTTCTCACTCATAAGTGGGAGTTGAACAATGAGAATACATGGACACAGGGAGGGGAATATCACATGGGGCCTGTCGGGGGTGAGGGGCAAGGGGAGGGAGAACATTAGAACAAATACCTAATGCATGCGAGGCTTAAAAGCTATGATGGATTGATAGGTGCAGTAAACCACCATGGCACATATATACCTATGTAACAAACCTGCATGTTCTGCACTTGTATCCCAGAACTTAAAGTAAAATAAAAAAACAAAACAAAACAAAATTAAGCAGGGTGGGTGCTAACACTCAGGGAGTCATTGAGGCAACAAGTGACAGCTTTATATTACATGTCCATCAATGGATGAGTGGATAAATAAGATGTAGCATATCCATATAATCAAATGTTATTCAGCAATAAAAAGAAATGAAGTATTGATACATGCAACAAATAGGATGAACCTTGAAGACATTATACTAAGCAAAACAAGCCAGTCAGGAAAGACTGTGCCTTGTGTGATTCCATTTATATGCAATATTTGGAACAGGCAAATCTATAGAGACAGAAAGCAGACTACTGGTTGCCAGGGATTGGGGTGAGAGGAGCGGGAGAATAGGGGAATGACAGTAATGGATACGGGGTGCCTTTTAGGGTAGATGAAAATGTCCTTAAATTGATTGTGGTGATAGTTAATATATTAAAAACACTCAATTCTACACTCTAACTGGGAGAATCACATGGTATGTAAATTAAATATTTAAAACAATTTAAAAAATACATCAACCTAGCAATCATGCTTCTTGGTATTTATCCAAATGAACTGAAAACTTATGTGCACAGAAAACCTGCACATGGATGCACAGAGCAACATTATTCATGAGTGCCAAAACCTGGAAGCAACCAAGATGCCCTTCAGTAGGTGAATGGATAAACGAACCCTGGTACATTCAAACGTGGATTATTATTCAGAGCTAAAAAGAAAAAAGAAGTGAGCTAAAAAGAAATCAAGTCATGAAAAAATACGGAGGAAACTTAAATGAGTATTACTAAGTGAAAGAAGCCAATTTGAAACGGATACATACTGTATGATTCAAACTATATGACATTCTGGAAAAAGTGAAACAGTAAAAAACAAACAAAGATAGTAAAAAGATCAGTGGTTGTTAGAGGTTGAGGGGAGAAAGGGATGAGTAGGCAGATCACAGAGGATTTTTAGGGCAGTAGAATTATTCTGCATGATCCTATAGTGGTAGATACAGTTCATGATTCATTTTTCAAAACCCATAGAACATGCAACACCACAGGTGAACCCTAATGTTAACTATAGACTTTGAGTGATAACCGTGTGTCAATATAGGTTCATTAGTTGTAATAAATGCAACACTCCAGTGTAGAATATTGTCAGCTGGGAAGGTTGGTGGGGACAGGGAGTATATGAGAAGTCTCTGTCCAACACTCCAGTGTAGAATATTGTCAGCTGGGAAGGTTGGTGGGGACAGGGAGTATATGAGAAGTCTCTGTACTTTCCATTCAATTTTGCTGTGAAGCTAAAACTCTTCTGAAAAATAGTCTATTTTAAAAAGAAAAGAAAGCAATATCCCTATTTTATGTGTGTGTGCATGCATGATTATGTGTGTGTATATATAATTTCACTGTGTTCTAACTTTTATAATTGCTATGAGAAATTGACTGCAGATCTAATTCTAGCTTCTTTATAGGTGATCTTTTTCCTGTGGTCTTTTAAAATATTTCTGTCTTACATGTTCTGCATTTCCACTGCAGTGTGTTTAGGTATTGATTCCTTTTTATTTATCCTGTTTCCTATAGCTATGGGTCCTAGTCTATCCTCAGTACTAGACATTTCTCAGCCATTATCACTTCAAAGACGCCTCTCTTCCATTTTCTGTATTTCATCCTCGTGAAGTTTTGACTGGGGTATGTTGAACCTTCTCACCCTACTCTTCTTATTTTCTTATTCTTTTTTTTTTTTTTGTGATGGAGTCTCACTGTGTCGCCCAGGCTGGCAAACACTGGCGCGATCTCAGCTCCCTGCAAGCTCCTCTTCCCAGGTTCACGCCATTCTCCTGCCTCAGCCTCCCAAGTAGCTGGGACTACAGGTGCCTGCCACCACACACAGCTAATTTTGTTTTTGTATTTTTAGTAGAGACGGGGTTTCACCGTGTTAGCCAGGATGGTCTCGATCTCCTGACCTCATGATCCGCCCGCCTCGGCCTCCCAAAGTGCTGGGATTACAGGCGAGAGCCACCGCGCCCGGCCTCTTATTTTCTTACTCTTATTTTCTATCTCCTTGGTCTCTCTCTTTCCATTTTCGATAAATTCTCTCTTCATCTTTATATACTCTTCTCTTTAACCCTTCCATGGAGTAGTTTTGTTCACTTTTTAGTTTGAGAGAATTGTAGATTCACATGCAGTTTTGAGAAAAAACATAGAAAATTCCCACGTACTCTATCCAGTTTCTGCCAATGGTAACATCTTGCAAAACTACAGAACAGTATCATAACCAGGACATTGACAATGATACAGTCAAGATACAGAATATTTCCATCACCCTCATGGAATCTCATGGAACATTTCCTCACCCAAGAATCCCTCATGCTGCCCTTTTATACCCACCCCTACCCACCCCTACTTTTCTCCCACCCCACCCACTTCTGGCAACCATTAATCTATTTGCCATTCTCCATTTCTATAATTCTGTCATTTTAAGAATGTTATATAAATGGAATCATACAGTATGTAACCTTTTGGATTGACTTTTTTTTCCTCTCAGCATAATTCTGTGGAGATTCATCCCCTCTATTCCTATTTTTCTGAGAGTCGTTTGTTTGTTTGTTTAATCATGAACAGGTGTTGAATTTTGTCCAATACTGTTTTTTTGCACCAATTGATATAATCTCATAGGTATTTTTCTTTAGTCTATTAATATGGTAGATTATATTGATTGATGTTCAAATATTGAACCGGCTTTCCATCGCTGGAACCCTGTTTAGTCATGAGGTACAATTCTTTTTGTATATTGCCAAATTTTATTTGCTAATATTTGTTAAGGATTTGTACATCTATATTCATAAGGGAGATTGGTTTATTGAGTTTTTATTTCAACAATTATATTTTTAATTTCTAACCTTTAGTTTGTTTTAAAATCTGTCTTGCTACTGACAATCTCTTGTTGCCTTCATATTTTTGTGTTTCTAGCTTTGTTTCTTTGGTGATAATGAATTGTGAGTTCATATTTTGTTTATCTAAATCTGGGAGGAAACCCTAGAGCTTACATTGGGGATGGTTTCCTCCAAATAGAATTCGCATTTTCTTTTGCTGCAGGCCAGAGAGCCACTCACCTAGGGCCACTTTAACCCTCTTTGTTCCTATCTCCTCTCATCAGGTCTCAGGCCAAGGTCCCCATTCCAGCCCTTTGCTACTGGCCCATGGATCAATCTCGACTGCAAGACAGCAGGTAGCATTTACTGTCCAGGCAACTCTGTCTCTCAAGACTTTTCCCTCTTGAAAATTTCCCTCCATTTCTCACAAAGCCAGCAAAGCAACACAAACAATGGTTTAGGCAAGATCTAGGATTTCCTTCCCTTCCTTCCTTCCTTCTTTCCTTCCTTCCTTCCTTCCTCCCTCCTCCCTCCCTCCTTCCACTCCCTCTCTCCTTCCTTCCTTCCTTCTTTCCTTCCTTCCTTCCCTCCTTCCTTCCTTCCCTCCTTCCTTCCTTTATTCCTTCCTTCCCTCTCTCTCTCTTTCTTATTTCTTTTCATTTTCATAGGAGGTGCCCTAAGAATATCTTGTCTACCACACTGCTGGTAGTGGAATGACATTCCATTGTACATCCACCATATAACAAATACTTCAATGTTTGACACTTCAAATGTTAAGAAGACAGAGTAATTGAACCCTTACACATTGCTGGTAGGAGCATAAATTCAAGACAATAATTTTGGAGAGCTAGTTACTATTATCTAGAAAATTTGAAAATGCACATATCCTACATTTTATTTGTAGCCCATACTCTACAGGAACTCTTCCGCATATGGCTAATAGAGACATAGAATATTCATTGTGCATTGTTTATAAAAGAACTCATTGGAAACAGACTAAATGTTCATTAATAGCATAATTGTGGTATGTTTATGCAATGGAATACTATGCAACAGTGGAAAAGAATAAACCAGACCCACAAGTATTAATATGGGCAAGTATACATAATAAGAGTAAACACAAAGCAAGTTGCAGAGAAATACATATAACATGACTATGTTTGCAAAAAGTTTAAAACATGCAAAACAACAATAAACATGACTTAAGAATGCCTACATATGTAGTAAGAATATGAAGAAATGCATAATAACAATAAACACCAAACTCAGGACAGCAGCCTGAAGAGAAGGCTGAAAATATAAAATATAAATAGAAATAGAAAGGGGGGCCCAGGGACTGAACTGGTATTGTTTGTTTTATTTCTTAAACTGGTGATGAGGACATGGTTATTCACTATATTACTCCTTGTACCTTTTAGGAGGTCTTGCCTTGTCTTCTGGTCAGCTTAATACCTCTGAGTACTTCTAATGGCGTGAATCCCAGAATCACTAGTAGCAATGGAATTAAGTTCAACTAGGGAGAAGATGTGTATGAGAAGACAGCTGAGGCCCACCAATATCTCTGGAGGCTGAGAAGGGGGAGAACTTGGCAAGTGTGGTGTTTTCAAATCCATAGGAGGGGAGAGCTTCAAAAAGGCTTATGTAGTAGGCAGCTTCTGAACTGGCTCCAAAAAATCTCCACCTCCTGGTATTCACATCCTCATGTAATCCCCTCCCATCGAACATGGGATGGACCCAGTCACTTGATTCTAACAAATAGAATATGGTAAATTGATTTCCTAGCTTAGGTTACAAAAGAGTGTGAATTCTGTCTTGTCCAGACTTTCTTTTTCTGGCTCATCTTACTGGCTTGCTGTGATGAAGCAAGCTGCCATGTTGTGAGTTGTCTGATGGAGAGACCCACATGACAATAGACTGAGGGTGGCTGCTAGCCTACAACAAGCAATGAACTGAGGTCTTTGGTCCAACAACACTTGAGGGACTGAATCCTGTCAACAATAATGTGAGTAAGCATGGAACTGGAGCCTTCCTTTGTCAAGCTTTCAGATGAGACCACAGCCCCAGCCAACACCTTGATTGTAGCAAGCCATGCAATCTGCATGCCATAGTTTCAACCTACAGAAACTATGAGGTAATAATGTTGTTGTTATAAGTCATTACATTTTGGGGTAATTTGTTGTGCCTCCATCAATAACAAATACAGATTTTGGTAACTGGAAATAGGAGGCTGCTGCTAACTAACACCTAAAAGTGTGGGAGCAGCTTTGGAACCCTTGGTGTGCACAGACTGGGAAGATTTAGAGGAGCATATTAGAAAAAGCCTAAATTGCCTTGAACACATTGTTAGTAAACATCTTGACTTTGAGGAGGCTGCCAGTGGGGGCTAAAAAGGAAATGAGGAAAATATTATTAGAAACTAGAGGAAGGATGGGTGTGTGCTTATTGTATAGTGACAGAAAGCTTAGTGACATGTCAATCTGAAATCATGTGGAAGCCAGAATACGTGGCTAATGAACTAGGTGATTTAGTTAAGAAGATTTTCAAGTGAAGTATTGAAGGTGTCTCCTGGTTTCTTCTTGCTGCTTATAGTAAATTGCAAGAGATGAAAGATAAATCAAAGGAAGGACTATTAAAACTATTAAACAGGCCAGGTGTGGTGGCTCATGCCTGTAATCCCAGCACTTTGGGAGGCCGAGGTGGGTGGATCATTAGGTCAGGAGATCAAGACCATCCTGGCTAACATGGTGAAACCCCATCTCTACTAAAAATACAAAATACTAGCCAGGCGTGGTGGCGGGCACCTGTAGTCCCAGCTACCTGGGAGGCTGAGGCAGGAGAATGGCATGAACCCAGGAGGTGGAGCTTGCAGTGAGCTGAGATCCAGCCACTGCACTCCAGTCTGGGCAACAGAGTGAGACTCCGTCTCAAAAAAAAAACAAAAAACAAAAAAACAAAAAACTATTAAACAAAAAAGAAGCCAGGACTTTATGATTTTGAAAGTTTGCAGTCTCTCTAGATGGCAAACTATATGAAAGTTAAGAAATGGCTTCTTGGCTGGGTGCAGTGACTCACGCCTATAATTCCTATAGTTTGGGAGGCTGAGGCAGGAGGGTTGCTTGAGCCCAGAGGTTCAAGACCAGCCTTGGCAACATAGTGAGACCCCTGTCTCTACAAAAATAAAAAAAATTAGCTGGGTATGGTGGTGCATACCTGTAGTCCTAGTACTACAGAGGCTAAGGTGGCAGGATCACTTGAGCCTGAGAGGTTGAGGCTGCAGTGAGTCAAGATTGTGCCACTGCATTCCAGCCTGGGCAACAGAGTGAGACCCCATTTCTTTCTTTCTTTCTTTTTTTTTTTTGAGACAGAGTCTCGCTCTCTGCTGCCCAGGCTGGAGTGCAGTGGCGCAATCTCGGCTCACTGCAAGCTCCGCCTCCCGGGTTCATGCCATCCTCCTGCCTCAGCCTCCCCAGTAGCTGGGACTACAGGCGCCCGCCACCATGGCCGGCTAATTTGTTCTGTATTTTTAGTAGAGACGGGGTTTCACTATGTTAGCCAGGATGGTCGAGTGAGACCCCATTTCTAAAAAGAAAAAAAGTATTACTTCTGGGCACTGGCAGAAAAACATGGTCTGGTAATAAAATAAAGGCAAGAGTGTGACTCTACAACCTTTCATTAAGACTCAGGGCCGGGCGCGGTGGCTCACGCCTGTGATCCCAGCACTTTGGGAGGCCGAGGCGGTTGGATCACGAAGTTAGGAGATTGAGACCATCCTGGCTAACACGGTGAAACCCCGTCTGTACTGAAAATACAAAAAAATTAGCGGGGCGTGGTGGCGGGCGCCTGTAGTCCCAGCTACTCAGGAGGCTGAGGCAGGAGAATGCTGTGAACCCGGGAGGTGGAGCTTGCAGGGAGCAGAGATCGCGCCACTGCACTCCAGGCTGGGCGACACAGCAAGACTCCATCTCAAAAAGAAAACAACAACAACAAAAAACTCAGAAAGACCAAAGAATCAGAGTATTACTCAGTCACATATGGGGCTCTTTCAGGAGAATTAGGGTGTCCCTCCCTGATTCTTTCCAATAAAACAATAGGCCCTCCAGAAAGTTTAAGAGCATCGGCCCCCAGCAGTAGCCCAAGACTTTTGACAAATAGAGTGAACCCTGGTGAGATTCACAGAAAATGCACAAAGTTTTTGAGAAAATTATCTAAGCAGAAATACTGCCAGTTTGGGCTGAAAGGGACCAAGATGTACAAAATGAAAGAAGTCTATTGGACCTCCAACATTTTACTGGAAGGAAACAGGCTGAGAAAACCATTCAGGTGCAAAGGATTGTTACCTTTTATGATAAAGGAGGGATGGCTCAGAGGCCGAGCCAAGAGCCTAAAAGATGCAGCCAAAAGTCATGGAGAATTATTCCTAAGTCTTGAAACCTCATCAAGGAACTCCCAATATTTTAGTCAGCTGGATTTGAGAATTTTTGTGGACCAGTGGTTTTCTTACCTCTCATTTTCCCAATTTTTGAGCAGGAATCTCTACAGCTGTGATCCATGTCTGTCCCACCACTGCATGTCAGGTGGATTGGTGCAGGGCAGACATCTGGTCTCTTTGGTTTCATGAATCCACAGATGGAGAGGAAACACACTTGAAAGTTGGAGCTACACCCCAGGCGCTCCCATCACAGCTGGACCTGATTGAGATGATGATGCGGAACTGGACTTTCAGCTGATGCTGAAATGGAAGGAGAATTTAGGGCACCTTGGGAAGGAGTTAATGCGTTTTGTCTGTGAGGGAGTTCTGAATCTTTGGGGGCCAAAGAGTGGACTGTGGTAGGCAGCTTTTGAGAGGGCCCTCTATGTCCTCACCTCTGAGTGTTCATAAGTGTGATGTAATTCCCTCTCCTTGAGCTGCTGGACTTAATGAGCCTTCCTGAAACCAAGGGCACAGACTTGAGGCCCTCCAGACCTGGGTCCTGTGGTTCAATGCATGGCCCTGTAGCTGCAGGTTCCCGGAGAAGGGCGGATGGCAGAGCAGACTGTGACATCTCCAGGTGGCTCCTGAGCACCTGCTCTGCTCTCCTTCCCCTCCAGGCTCTCTGATTTTGGCTGCTTGGCTGCTCGCCATCTTCCAGGCTCTACGCTCATCCTGTGAGGGCATGAACTGATCTGTGCTTCGCCTGCAAGCTCTATTCTCTCCCCCAGACACCTCACACTCTGTGGGGACCCTGGAGAGAAAGGTAGCCTTGGGCTTCTTGGAAGTGCCAGGAAAGGAAAACAATCCAACAGTTTAGGGGCCCCACTTCTCATTGGAGCTGGAGACACTCATCCCCTAGGAAATGCTGGTCCTTAATCACTGCCCTCCTGAACAGACCTGCTGCTGCTATGCCCAGCATCTTTGCTCACCAGCCTCGTCCTAATATGAAGGCCGAAGGCACATTTGGGCTGTGCCAGGAGCCAGGGTGATTGACAGCTGGAGCTCCTAGTGGGGCTCATTAAGGGAAGCTGGGTGGGGCCTAGGGGAGCTCACTCTCCCCTGCCAGCCCCAGACCCAGGCGATGAGCTGGGAGGGGGCAGGAGAGGGGGTCAGATCAGCCAAGCTGGATGTCCTCTGCAGCCTGCCAGCTTGAGGCCCCAGCTGTGCCCACTGCCGAGGGCCAGGCTCTGCTCCTGAAGGCCCAACAGCCAGCCTGGAATATTCATAAGTGCCAAAGCCTCCCACCCCTGGGCCTCTGGGCTTCCTTAGACCCCCCCTGGAACATGCCCTTCATGGCTTTTCGTTCTAGAGACATCACAAGTTACTACGCACTACTCCCAATGCTGCCTCCTCCCTGTCCAAGTCCTCGCTTTCCATAATTTCCCAGTCTTGCAACACACACTGGGCCTGCCTGTCATTTTGATTTGCAAATTGAATCTCCCAAGAGCTAGTTATAATATGCAACATTATAAACCAGAAGTAAACTTCTCTATGTCTAACAAGGGCTACTGGAGAGACTTCTTTCTGTTTATACCCTTTTATCTTGTTTAAATATTTTTGTGTCTTTTTAGTTCCTTTCAAAATCAGGAAAAACAAGAGATATTTCCTTTTTAGAAGGAGAAAAAGCCCATTATTTCCCCTCCTGGTGGTAAAGAGCAAGGACCCTACAACCAGGCTGATTGTGTTTGAATCCCTATCCTGGGTGATCTTGGGCAAGTCACTTAACCTCTCTGTGCCTTAGCGTTCTCATGTGTAAAATGGAGTTAATAATTCCTTCCTGAGGGTTGTGAGGATTAAATGCATTAGTGTATATAAAACGCTTACTGATACATAGCAAATCTTTTTTTTTTTTTTTTTTGAGATGGAGTCTCGCTCTATTGCCCAGGCTGGAGTGCAGTGGCGCGATCTTGGCTCACTGCAACCTCCATCTCCTGGGTTCAAGCGATTCTCCTGCCTCAGCCTCCCAAGTAGCTGGGATTACAGGCGTGTGCCACCATGCCTGGCTAATTTTTGTATTTTTAGTAGAGACGGGGTTTCACCATGTTGGCCAGGCTGGTCTCCTGACCTCGTGATCTGCCCGTCTCGGCCTCCCAAAGTGCTGGGATTATAGGCATGAGCCATCGCACCCAGCCGATACACAGTAAATCTTAAATAAATATTTGTTAAATAAAATTTAAAACTCAGCTGCCTGAGAAAGGAGGCCAGTGAGTCGTAAGGTCCAGTGGCTCCCATCTCAGCCCCTGCCTCCATCTCTTCCTACGCATTTCCGACCACAGGGTCCAGATGTGAGAATTTGTGCTGGTTTCAGTTCCTACTCCAAGCTATTGGCCCAGGACACTGCCCAACTCCGAGGCTCCTGGGCAGGTCCTGTGCACTTTCAGCCACCTGTGTCCTCTGCCTGTAAGCTCCATCCTGAGGACAAGCAGAGCCTGTGGACAGGCCATGCACACCCCAGCTGCCCTCCCATCTGACTTCCCAGTGTACTGAATCCTTCCCTGGGCCACCTTAAGGCCCTAGGACCCTGACTGCAGCTTGCCTGGTCCTCCAACAGCACCACACAGGCCTGTAGCTCCACAAGCTGTGCTGACCTCTTGCCATGGGCCATGGTCTAGGACCAAGTCCCAGGCTTCCCTCTCTGGGTGCAAAGTCCTCTCCCTGCCGGTGAAGTCTGCGGTTCCCTCCCAAGGACCCAATCTCTGTCATCATCCTTTCTCAGCCCTGCCCTGCTTCTCTTGGGACAGAGACGAACTTGAAGATTCTTAAGGATTCAGTTGTCACTAGTGAAGAATCAGGCTGGGCTCAGGCTGCAAAGACTGCTTTCTGGTATGACCAGGGAGGGGGACTGCGGGCAGAGCCAGGGGCAGTGAAAGGGGATGTGTAATGGTAAGGGGTCTTCCTCATAGAAGAAGAGGCAGGGCTGGGGTCACATGAAGGCCAGAGTTTGGGAACAAGACAGCCAAGAGAGAGAAGACAGCTAGCTAGATAGAGTACTTCCTTGTGATGCTTTCTGTCTGAGCATCAGGGCTATTCTAGAGATGGTTTCCGAAAGGAGCATCTGTTCATCTGTTTAACTAGTGTCCTGGGGCAATGATCAACCTCTCTGACCTTTAGTCTCTTTATCTGTAGGATGGGATGATAATGCCTTCCTCAAAGACTTGTCAGGAAGATCCCATGAGATATTGTGGTGGTGACTGCAAAGCGTTTAGTACCTTGCCTGGCATGATAAATCTTAAACATGAATGCTGGGACTGGACCTGGTGACTTACGCCTGTAATCCCAGCATTTTGGGAGGCCAGGTGGGAGAATTGCTTGAGACCAGGAGTTTGAGACCAGCCTGGGCAGCATAGTGAGACCCTGTCTGTAATAAACAAACAAGTAAATTTAAAAAATGCTGAAAAGCCTTCTTGACTGTTATTAACAAGGTCTGTCTTGGGAGGTGGGTCCTAGAATAAGAGCCTGACTATGGGTGAGGGGTCGCAGGCCAGATCATAAAATGACAGGAGGCGTGAGGTGAGCCTGGCAATGATGGCAGCTATATTCTCCCGACATTAATTCCCCAAGAAGTTATCTACTCCCAAATTCTATTTTCTGTCTTTTTTTTTTTTTTTTTTAATCACAACTTAAAGAAACCCTAAGCCTGAAATGGGACCAGAGATAACAGGTTCCACAAGCCTGGTTCGTACCTGGCGCTCATAACAGTGCTGTGGCGGGCTGTTCTGTCTGTGTGGAATGGCCCTGTCTCCCTCCCCAGGAAGGACCAGGGCATAGCTTGGGGTACCACTAAAAAGCAAATTCATAAAGACGGAAAGTATAATACAAGTTACCAGGGGCTGAGGGGAGGGGATAACAGGGAGTTATTTTTTAATGGGTACAGAGTTTCTGTTTGCGATGATGAAAAAGTTCTGGAAATGGATAGTGATGGTTGGATAACATTGTAATACCATTAAACTGTACACTTAAAAATGGTTAAAATGGTCAGGCACAGTGGCTCACGCATGTAATCCCAGCACTTTGGGGGGCCAAGGCGGGTGGATCACAGGAGGTCGGGAGTTCGAGACCAGCCTGACCAACACAGTGAAACCCCATCTCTACTAAATACAAAACATTAGCCGGGTGTGGTGGTGCACCCCTATAATCCCCACTACTTGGGAGGCTGAGATAGGAGAATAGCTTGAACTCGGGAGGCGGAGGTTGCAGTGAGCTGAGATTGTGCCACTGCACTCCAGCCTGGGCAACAACAGTGAAACTCCATCTCAAAAAATAAAAATAAATAAATAAATGGTTAAAATGGTCAATGTTATGTTATGTATAGAAACATATGTGTATGCATATACACATTTTTCTCAAGTGCATATAGATCATTCTCCAGGATAGACCTCTGCTAGGCCACAAAAGAAGTCTTAATAAATTTTAAAAGATTGAATTATCATACAATATATCTTTTCTGAATACAATGGAATAAAAATAAGAATGAATCACAGAAAGAAAACTGAAAAAGTCACGAATATGTGGAAATTAAACTTACTCTTAACCAATGGTTGTTTAAGAAGAAATCACTTGGGAGTTGCTCTGAACCTGTTCTGGTTCGGGGGGTGCCCAGAAAAAAAAAAGAAGAAATCACAAAGGAAATTTAAAAATACTTAGAGATGAATGAAAAATATAAAAACAGGCTGGATGTAGTGGCTCACACCTGTAGTCCCAGCACTTTGGGAGGCCGAGGTGGTGGATTGCTTGAGCTCAGGAGTGCAAGACCAGCCTGAGCAATATAGTGAAACCCATCTCTACCAAAAATACAAAAAATTAGCCGGGCGTGGTGGCACATGCCTGTAGACCCAGCTACTGAGGAGGCTGAGGTAGGAGGACTGCTTGAGCCTGGGAGGGGGAGTTTGTAGTGAGTCAAGATCTTGTCACTACACTCCAGCCTGGGTAACAGAATAAGATCCTGACTCCAAAAACAAACAAACAACAACAAAATATATATATATATATAAACAATACATCAAAACTTATGAAATGCAGTGTTTTGAGGGAAATTTATAATAGTTAATGACCTCATTAAAAAAGAAGAAAGATCTCAAATTAATAACCTAGCCCAACTTTTCAAGAAACTTAGAAAAAGAAGAGCAAACTAAACCCAATGCTAGCATAA
Source organism: Homo sapiens (assembly GCF_000001405.40). NCBI lineage: Eukaryota > Metazoa > Chordata > Mammalia > Primates > Hominidae > Homo > Homo sapiens. Next base: position 421 of record NW_025791763.1, on the reverse strand, counting down.
GAAATTAATAATAAAAAAATGGAGATAAATGAAATCGAGAATGGAAAAACAATAGAGAGAACCACTAAAACCAAGATTGGTTCTTTAAAAGATCAACAAAACTGGCAAACCTTTAGCTACACCAACAAAGAAAAAAGATAGAGGATGCAAATAACTAAAATCAGGAACAAAAGTGTGGGTATTACTACTGACTTTACAAAACTAAAAAGGATCATAAGAAAATACTATGAATAATTGTACACTAATAAGTTAAATAACCTTGGTAAAATGGGCAAATTCTTTGAAAAACACAAACTACCACACTTACTCAGAAGACATAAAACATCTGAACAGACCTATAACAATTAAAGGGATTGAATTAATAATCAAAAACTTCCAAACAAAGAAAAGTCCAGGGCCAGATAGCTTCACTGGTGAATTC